>NC_000001.11:60462925-60765956 GCF_000001405.40 Homo sapiens
AAGCAGAGCAATGATTGACCGGGAGCAATCTAATCTTGCCCAAGGCCACACAGCAGCAAAGTATCCCTGAGGCCAGCAATGCTCTAGGTAATTTCTAAGCACTTCTTACTGGGGGCTCTGTTGTGAACACCTACCATTTTTTGACTGTCAATACCCTCTTTCCTATTTGAATTGTTTTTTAACTTGATTATCTTTTAATTATTTTCAAAACTTTAGTGCAATACACATAACATAAAATTTACCATCTAAACCATTTTTAAGTGTACAGTATAGTGGCATTAAGTACATTCACATTGTTGTGCAACTGTAACCACTATCCATCTCCAGAACTCTTTTCTTCTTGCAAAACCAAAATTCTATAGCCATGAAACAATAACTCCCCATTTCCTCTTTCCCCAGTCCCTGGTGACCATCCCTACTTGCACCCTTATCTTTCTTTTGGGGAACTCCCCAAGTTGTGTGGTCCTGGAGGAAATGGCTGCCTCTCATTCCAGATCTCCCTTTCCTTGCCCAGATTGGCCAGAAGAAGACAGGTGACCGAAGTGCAGTCAATTCGGTGCTCTCTCTCAAGAGTTTGTGTTTTCAGTAGAGATGCAAAGATGTAGAGTGGGTTGGAGACATAGTCACAGAAACTGCAAGGACATGTGGCTGCCCAACATCACACAGCTTGTTAAGTGGTAGAGCCAGGGTATCAACCCAGGCAATCTGAAAATGAGAACCAACAAAGCTATTGAATTAGAGAGCCACTTTTCAGCCATTTATTGAACAGAAAGTGCAGTGAATTTTTTGCATAATACATCATATGTATAGAAAAACTATATAAATAAATTTCTTGCTCTTAAAGAGTTCTCTTAAGTGGGGACATAGAGTAGCAATTACAGTGCAGTTTGATGGTCATTTCTATAAGATTTGATAAGAATATACAAAAAGAAAATTTTAAGTTGGCTTTAAATGTGGGAAAGAATTCTCAGAGAACTTAGTTATTAAGCCAGATCTTGAAGGTTGGTAATAAGTGTGCCTTCCGGGCAAACCCCAGAGAGTTCAGTATATGCAAAGGCATTAAGGCAAGAGAGGCCTTATTGTTCTATGAACTACAAAAGATCTCAGAAATTGCTAAAGCATGAAATGAGAGATAGGACATGGCCAGAAAGCACTCAGGCATGGACTGGCAATGGAGAAGGGCCTCTCATGTCATACAAGGAAATATTATTTTAGTCTTCCAAGGCTAGGATTATAAATAGGGAGCCCTTGGATCCTCTGTGAGTTCATGAGAAATCACACTGAAATAATATCAAAATGTTTCTGGTGGACATTTTACTTAACTGTAACTTCTATCATCTTTTCATGGTGGTGGGTAGAATCTGGGGAGTTGGTAGAAGCTGTAGCTCTTCTGGCTCCTCTGTAAACTTAAAAAATGTACTTTTTCCATTGGTAGTTAACAATGTAATCTTCATGTTAGCAAAACCATCATTGTTAGCACTTCCACTGGGTTGCAGGAAGAGAGTGCATGAGGATGAAAGATGGAAAGAGGGGAGTGTGAAACGGAAGGAGATTGTTGGGTTTTTTCCCCTCTAGGAGTAGCAGTATGCTGATTGTCAATAAAATGAGTTCATCTTGCATGCTAATGCACCAAGTGTCAGGTGAATAAATTATCTCTTATTAGACTTTACCATGAGGTAAGTACTTTTGTCCCCTTCTTTCTTGGGTAACACCAGTTGTCACAATGCTTATCAACGTAAGGAAACTTGGACCTCATTAACATGGAAGGAAGGGAAAATGTGTGAGAGAAATGCTTGCACAGAGAGTGATTAACTGTAAAAAGATCTTTGTTAGAGCACAATTGTTTAAAACTCTGTCTATAATGGTGGGGTGGTAGTAATATTTGTCTTTCCTTTCCAGTTTTCTTATAAGATTTAAGGTAGGGAACATTAGAGTATATTTTTTTCCTCTCTACTCCCTGGCACATCGAAACATTCAGGGCATATAGCAAGTTATTTAAAATGGTATACCCCACTAACCTGAATTAAACTAAATCAATTTAGCAAATCACTTATCAAAGAAGTAGTGAGCATCCTGTTAATTGCAGGGATAGTAAGACCTCCCTTTCTCAAGAAACTTAAAGTCTAAAGTGAGATGAATCTTTCATAATTGATAATAGTACAAATAAGAATAAAATATACTTCATAGAAAAAGACAACATAATTTGGTGTTTAAGATTTCAGCTGTTTGAGTTAGATAAGCCTGGTCTAGAATTCTGGCCCTGAACCTTAATAACTTCATGACCTTGGGCAAGTTATACAATCCCCCGGATCTCAGTTTTCTTATCTATGAAATGGAAATAGTAATTCTACGCTTTTTAAAAATTTGTTTGTTCTGATGAGCATTTTTTCATGTGTTTTTTGGCTGCATAAATGTCTTCTTTTGAGAAGTGTCTGTTCATGTCCTTCGCCCACTTTTTGATGGGGTTGTTTGTTTTTTTCTTGTAAATTTGTTTGAGTTCATTGTAGATTCTGGATATTAGCCCTTTGTCAGATGAGTAGGTTGCGAAAATTCTCTCCCATTTTGTAGGTTGCCTGTTCACTCTGATGGTAGTTTCTTTTGCTGCGCAGAAGCTCTTTAGTTTAATTAGATCCCATTTGTCAATTTTGTCTTTTGTTGCCATTGCTTTTGGTGTTTTGGACATGAAGTCCTTGCCCATGCCTATGTCCTGAATGGTAATGCCTAGGTTTTCTTCCAGGGTTTTTATGGTTTTAGGTCTAATGTTTAAATCTTTAATCCATCTTGAATTGATTTTTGTATAAGGTGTAAGGAAGGGATCCAGTTTCAGCTTTCGACATATGGCTAGCCAGTTTTCCCAGCACCATTTATTAAATATGGGGAATCCTTTCCCCATTGCTTGCTTTTCTCAGGTTTGTCAAAGATCAGATAGTTGTAGGTATGCGGCGTTATTTCTGAGGGCTCTGTTCTGTTCCATTGATCTATATCTCTGTTTTGGTACCAGTACCATGCTGTTTTGGTTACTGTAGCCTTGTAGTATAGTTTGAAGTCAGGTAACATGATGCCTCCAGCTTTGTTCTTTTGGCTTAGGATTGACTTGGCGATGCGGGCTCTTTTTTGGTTCCATATGAACTTTAAAGTAGTTTTTTCCAGTTCTGTGAAGAAAGTCATTGGTAGCTTGATGGGGATGGCATTGAATCTGTAAATTACCTTGGGCAGTATGGCCATTTTCATGATATTGATTCTTCCTACCCATGAGCATGGAATGTTCTTCCATTTGTTTGTATCCTCTTTTATTTCCTTGAGCAGTGGTTTGTAGTTCTCCTTGAAGAGGTCCTTCACATCCCTTGTAAGTTTGATTCCTAGGTATTTTATTCTCTTTGAAGCAATTGTGAATGGGAGTTCACTCATGATTTGGCTCTCTGTTTGTCTGTTGTTGGTGTATAAGAATGCTTGTGATTTTTTGTACATTGATTTTGTATCCTGAGACTTTGCTAAAGTTGCTTATCAGCTTAAGGAGATTTTGGGCTGAGACAATGGGGTTTTCTAGATATACAATCATGTCGTCTGCAAACAGGGACAATTTGACTTCCTCTTTTCCTAATTGAATACCCTTCATTTCCTTCTCCTGCCTAATTGCCCTGGCCAGAACTTCCAACACTATGTTGAATAGGAGTGGTGAGAGAGGGCATCCCTGTCTTGTGCCAGTTTTCAAACCACTATGAGATACCATCTCACACCAGTTAGAATGGCAATCATTAAAAAGTCAGGAAACAACAGGTGCTGGAGAGGATGTGGAGAAATAGGAACACTTTTACACTGTTCGTGGGACTGTAAACTAGTTCAACCATTGTGGAAGTCAGTGTGGCGATTCCTCGGGGATCTAGAACTAGAAATACCATTTGACCCAGCCATCCCATTACTGGGTATATACCCAAAGGACTATAAATCATGCTGCTATAAAGACACATGCACACGTATGTTTATTGCGGCATTATTCACAATAGCAAAGACTTGGAACCAACCCAAATGTCCAACAATGATAGACTGGATTAAGAAAATGTGGCACATATACACCATGGAATACTATGCAGCCATAAAAAATGATGAGTTCACCTCCTTTGTAGGGACATGGATGAAATTGGAAATCATCATTCTCAGTAAACTATCGCCAGAACAAAAAACCAAACACCGCATATTCTCACTCATAGGTGGGAATTGAACAATGAGATCACATGGACACAGGAAGGGGAATATCACACTCTGGGGAGTGTTGTGGGGTGGGGGGAAGGGGGAGGGATAGCATTGTGAGATATACCTAATGCTAGATGATGAGTTAGTGGATGCAGCGCACCAGCATGGCACATGTATACATATGTAACTAACCTGCACAATGTGCACATGTACCCTAAAACTTAAAGTATAATAAAAAAAAAAGAAAAAGAAAAAAAAAAAGCAAAAAAAAAAAAATTTGTTTGTTCTGTGGATTTAAAGACACACTGTATGTGAAGTATTTAACACAGTGTGTGCTTAGTAAGATACTTCCAACTGGTTAAAATGGCTAAAAAACACAGGAGGTTCAAGAGGAGTAGGCCATTTTTTTCTGAGTAGTAGCATAGAGAAATCTTAGCCAAGGAGGTAGTATTTGACCTGAACCTTGAAGGATGAGGACAATTACCTTAGAAGAATAAAGTGGGAAGGGAGAAAGGCAGTAAGGCCTAGAAAAATGCCTGGAGAGGTACAAGTACATGTCAAAGATGTGGGGAATAGAATATAAACCAGTATAGATAGAGCCAAAAAACATCACTGTATGAGGAATAGAAAGTTATTGAAGGGAGGTGGAACTGGAATAAGACTCAACTAAAATCATAAGCAACCTCCATGCCTTGATAACAAGCATAACTGAATGACTGAATTAATTAATTTATGCTACAGTTAATGATGCAACATTAAAATCTTTGTTCAAATACATTTTTAGAAAGATTATTCTGATGGCATTAAGAGGGTATGGCTAACCCAGGAAGCACAACTGAAGGTATAAAGAACCTTACATTATTCCAGGTAATAGATAATGAGAGACTGAACTAAAGTAATGACAACAGGAATGCAGACGTGGGGACAGAAGAAGAGATAACTGGGGGTGAAGGAACTAACAGTATAAAGAGATTCCTCAAAATTGGTGCCTGGGTATTTAAATATAAGAAATAATTATTGCCAATTAAATTATTATTTTTCTTAATCTATCATTTATGGACATGTATATAAGCATATTTTTTATTAAAAATACATCCTGTGTCCAATCAACTACCCAAATATTAGATTACTGCTAAATAACAAACCAGCTCCAATACTTAATTGCCTAAAACTACAACCATTTTATCATATCTCATTATTCTGTGGGTTGACTGAACTCAGTTCAGCTAGACAGCTCTAATCACAAGATGTCGGCTTGAGCTGTAGTTATCTGGGTCTTGACTGGGCTGCAACATCCAAGATGGGTCACTCATGTCTGGTACTGCTGCTGGCTGTGAGCTGGGAGCTCAGCTGGAGATGTTGAAGGCAGCACCTCATTTTCTTTCACATGGCTTCCCCATGTTGTTTGAGCTACCACAAGAAAGGAAGTAGAATATGCTAGACCTCTTAAGTCCTGGGCTTGGACTTCCTTGGTTACCACTCTAAATACCTTCTCTTTGGCATGGCCAGTTTCAAGCATAGTCAAGATTCAAGGAGAAGGTAAATAAGTACCACCTCTTGATGTGAAGAGCAGCACACACACACATAAGGAGGGAAAGATTGTTTGGGGCCATCTTTGGGGACAGAGATTGGTTCTCAAATGATTCAAATTGAAGAAACTGGCTTGAAAATATTCTCCCTTTCTAATGACTAGGGATCCAAAGTCCACATCAAAATATAATTGGTCATTATCCACTTATATTCTTGGGCAATCTCCTCTAGTCCCATGTATCCACTATTTCCAATGCTCTGGTCATTGCTGAAATAGTATTTTCTCCTGAGATCTAGACTCTTATACACAATGGCTCTTTCAACTGGATCTTCCACAGACAGATCAAACTCTTCAATATGCCTAAACCAAAGTTATCCTCCTCCTCCTCTTCCATTCTGAACAACCCACCCCTGAAAGAATCCACTATGTTTTCCTCCTGGGTTTTTTGCCTTCATGCATGGTGCTTCTGTTCACCCTTCTGTCTGAGTCAGTGCTTCTCAAACTTTAATGTGCAAAGCGATCACCTAAGAATCCACTTAAAGTGCAAATTCTGATTTGGTACTTCTGGAGTGAGGCCCGGGATTCTACATTTTAACAGGTTTCCAGATCATGTCAATGCTGCTTGTCCATGAGGTGTAAATGTCAAAGTCACAGAATTTGAGTTTATGTAAAACATTGTTGCATCTCCCTTTTCTTTCAAACACCATCAGTCACCAAATCTTGTCAATTATTCCTTCTAAATTTATCTCAAATCTATTCCTTCCTGACTTCTCTAATCTCTTTTATCTAGTCTGGTCTGAGCAATTGCAGCGAGCTCCTCACTTAGCTATCTGGCCCCATCTCATCTATAATGTATCCTATAGAGTGTTTTCAAGACTATCTTTCTCATGCGAAAATATGATTATGCTACTAATTGTCTCTGCTTCACATTTTCCCATGCATCCTGCAGAGTAAGAAATAAACTCATCTGAATATCGTGCCCCTACTTTTGTGCTCAGCCTTGTGCCCTGCCACTCCTGCAACACTTCACTTTAACTTCCCCTTTCCCCCACCCCCAGCACATGTGCACACAACACACACACAGTCTGTGCCACAGAACACAGAGTGATCTTTCCTAATATCCTGGCCTTGCTACATGCTATTTCCCTACCTATAACGCAACTCATCCTTTAAATATCAATTAAAATATTCTCTACTTCAGGATGTCTTCTCTGACCCCCAGGGATAAGTTAAGAACTCTTTCTCCTAAATGCTCATTGCACTTTGTAAGTACCATCACTAAAAGCAATCTTTCTTGGTTGTTGTTTGTTTCCATGTTTCTTTTCCCACTAAGCCATATGACCTTTGAGAGCAAACCACAACTTCCCAACTTTGTATTCCTGATGACTAGCCCCAACTCAAAAATGATTATGATTGTACATAGTAATAAGTAAATTAAATAAGTGAATAAACATACATCAACATTTGATAATATCAGTAAAGTTAGATTTTAGTCCAACACAAAAAGGAATTTTATTGCAACTAAATCTTTTGTGTTCTTTGTGCAGTAATGTGCTTCCCTGCCAAGGGAAAAATAGGCAGTCATCATATAAAAGGAAATTCTAATTTGAATGTATATTTTAACTATATAACTTTTCAACTTCCTTCCAATTATGAGATTATATGATGTAAGATGAATTTGAGAAGGATGTTCATTTTTGAATGATTTCTAGACCATGTAATAATTTCCTTCTAAACTATTATAGGAAGGACTAGAGGAAATTCCAGATTTGTGACACATAGAGAGATAGCAGTTCTATCTCCCGTATTTTCAACTGTATGTTATTTAAAGTTCCTTGAAACAAATTTCAATTATCAACATTTCCCTGACATATCTTCCACTAAAACAAAAGTTTTCCAGCTCAGCAGAAAGACCCACATTCCTGTAGTTTCAGGAGGCAGGGTGATGTGGACTTGATTTTTACTTTTCTCATCAATTCTATTCTGTAAGTTTTGTAAGAATCTTTACTCTTCAAAACAGCTAAGAAGTTGTTGCCAGAAGGAAAAACAGAATTTATGAAATCACAGTCTCAAAGAACAGAAGATACTCTCAAGAGACACTTTTTTAATTTGGGTTATGACATTAAATCTATTATAATGACCACTTTTAGGCTCTTCTTCATAGGAAAAACTGCAGATTTCCTTCCAATTTGATATTTGAATAATTATTCATCAGTCATTAGGTTTAAAAACATCATGGCTAACTGAACTCTCTCAATTTATTTATTCAACAATTATACCAAAAAATTAAGTACTTAAAAATTTTACTTATTGTTTGATGTACATCATGAGGATATACAAACAAGACACAAGTCTTGCCAAGAAGAGATCAAAGCCAGTTTGTTAAATGGCAACTCAGGGACAACTACAAAGTCTTCTTATACTAGTTCACTAAGAGACTAAATCAATGAAAGGCTCTTTCACCACATTAATTTTTTTTTATTTTACTTTTGTCCTTGATCATTTAGATGATTGAATGTGCTTTCCCTTTATTGTGTGTCTGTGTGTATGTTATTTTAACCTCTGTCTAGTAGTGTGTATTAGTCAGTTCCCATGCTGCTAATAAAGACATACCTCAGACAGGGTAATTTATAAAGAAAAAGAGGTTTAATGGACTCACAGTTCCATGTGGCTGGGGAGGCCTCACAATCATAGCAGAAGGTGAAGGAGAAGCAAGACACATCTTACATGGCAGCAGGCAAGAGCGCATGTGCAGAGGAACTCCCGTTTATAAAACCATCATATCTAGTGAGACTTATTCACTATTACAAAAACAGTATGGGCAAAACCCGCCCCCACAATTCAATTACCTCCCACCAGGTCCCTCCCATGACACCTGGGGATTATGGGAGCTACAATTCAAGATGAGATTTGGGTGGGGACACAGCCAAATCATATCATGGTGTATAACTGCCCTCCCTATACCTTCATCTCCGGATTAGCCACAGAGATCTTTTGACAATTACTTTAAATGGAGTCTAGGAGAGTTTACCACAGACATGTTTTCTCCAGGGCAAATGCTAGACCAGGGGCAAACCAAACATACTGCAATAATTTGGTGAGTTAATTTTTGGTGAGTTTTGGAAAATTGAATTTTAAGAAGTTAACATTATAGCTATCATCAAGGATCTCACCATTTAGTCAAAAGAAACAAAGGAATAAACCAATAAGAACAACAGAAGCATGTTCCTCAAAGTGCCATCCCTGCATCATTATTCACAATAGCCAAGATATGGAAATTAAGTGTCTGTGTCTGTGAACAGATGAATGGATAAAGAAAATGCAACAGACAGACACACACGTACACACACACACACACACACAGAGAGAGAGAGAAATATTATTCAGCCTTAAAAATGAAATAAATTCCTACCATTTGTGAAAACATGGCTGAATCTGGAGGACATTATACTAAGTGAAATAAGCCAAACACAGGACTATAAACACTGCATGATCTTACTTATATGTGGAATCTAAGAAATTTGAACTTAGAGAGTAGAAGTGTGATTACCTAGGGTCACAGGGTGGGGAAACAGGAGAGATATTGGTGAAAGGATACAAACTTTACATATATAACATGGTGACTATAGTTAATAACATTGTCTTGTACCCTTGCAATTTGCTAAGAAAGTGGATCTTAAGTGTTCTCACCACACATATACATACACAAATGTAACTGTGAAGTAATAGATGTATTAATTAGCTTGATTATGATGATCATTTCACAATGTGTATTTACATCAAAGCCTCACTTTGTACACCTTAAATATATGCAACTTTTATTTGTCAATCATACTTTAATAAAGCTGAACAAAATAAAAATAATTTTAGATTTTTTAATTTAAAAAAAGTGTGGTCCCCTAACTAACAGTATTAGCATTCTTGGGCAGAGTGCAAATTCTAAAGGCCCACCTCAGATCTATTGAATCAGCAACTCTGAAAACAGGGTCCAACAATCTCTGGTTTAACAAATGTCCTCCAAGTTATTCTGATAATAGCCATGTTTGAGAACCCTTGTGATAAGGTTTGAGAAATGTTTTGGTAGAGGGACATTTCAGAGCACTGTATGGAGCCCAGGAGGGGCAATTAACCCAGCACTGAGAACTCAAGGCAGGCTTCACAGGAAAGGTTAGCACCTGACAATTTTTATCATTGAATTCACCTTCTTCTAGTCCCTTAAATTCTGCCAGGTTTGCTAGCAATAATACTATGTGATTTGAGTTTCTTCATAAGTTGCTTCTCTTGACTACTTTCTGGTGGCTTTAAGAATAATTTGAAACACAGGAAACATGAATTTAGTAGCAAAAAAAAAAAAAAAAAAGAGAAAAATGGAGCTGATGTAGACCGTATTGGAATAACCAATGTTTCTTTAATGCCACAAATGCAAAAAGCTTAGGCTTTGGGACCAATTAACCCTGAGTTAAACTTGTCAGATATGGAAAATAAAAACATAACATGTACATGTCCAGTTACATCTAGATGTCAGGAAAAAATGAATAGTTTTTAGTATAAATATGTGCCATGCAATAATTTGGATTTACTTATACTAAAAAATTATTCTTTTTTTTTACCTGAAATTCAAAACTGGGTGTTTTATATTTTATCTGGTAACCCTATCCTGGATTCAAGTCAGGAACCACTATTCATGTTTTACTTTAAATTGGAATTAATAACAATAACAGAAGATATTTATTAAGCACTTCCTGTTTACCAGGTATTATCAAAAGCATATGATAGCATTATCTTGTTAAATCCTCACAATACACTTATCAATTAGGTATTATTATTAGTCTCCTTAAACACATAAGGAAACTGGGGCTTAGTGGTTGGGTAATCAAAGCTAGTAGAAGGTAGAGCCAGAATTTAAATACATATCAAATTCCAAAGCAGGGACAAACCAAAGATACTGATAACAAATCTGACCGCAGAATCAAAGCTTTTTTAATGACTGCATTTTATGGCCTCTCTTATACTTCAATTTGTTTAAACCTTGTGAATCCTGGTTTCTTTTCAGTTTTTGTGAAGATTAACTGAGATTATGTACTGACCTAACCCAGTTTGTGACCACTCGTAAACACATAAAAATGTATACTTATTAATAATAATATTTATACTCATAATCAAGAAAACTGACCTAAAAACATACTTCACTTCAGAACAATACTTCCACTCTAAGTAATGAGTTTTAGGAAACAAGAGCTCTGGTTTATCTGGGATTACAGACTTATGTTTTGGCCTGAGGTCATTAAGGATGGAGTTAAAGTTAAATAATGTGTATCTTGTCAGGGAGTTGACTTTCTGGTCTCTATGACAGAAGAAAGCAGTATGCCTCCACAGATGCCACAGTCAATGGACAAAAAGTGATACCATGGAGTATTATTTTGACTCCTAAGTGACTCTGAGATCCCAACGGCCATAGCTACTCTCCATGGAAAAGGTGAGAGCTATGAATGACTGTATGGACAAGGAGTGGCATGACCAAAGGGTCTACCTACAGAAAGAATGAGAGGAGATAATAGGTGTGGTGTCAAAAGCAGGAGGCTTCGAGTGTCCTGCTTCATTAGTTGTGTAGAGGATTAAAAGAAAGGATGTACATAAAATGGTTCACATGGTGCTCGTGTACACTACATGCTCAACGAATAGTGTGTATTTTAATTATTATTAAGATTATTATTACTGAAATAAAGAAAACATTCTGTCTGCAAAATGAACTTCTTTTTAAAACAAGAATCATGAGCTCTTCCAAGTCACAATAGTCTCAAGTGAGACTGAAATAATAGGTCTATTTATGATGTAGTATTTGCCATTCTAAAACAAAAAGAAAAATAAGAACTCTTGTTCCCACTTTTCTATTAGCTGCTATTAAGAACTTTGAATGGTCTAAGATTTTACTTCACTTGCAAACTATTAAGTTAGCCTGCCACAATTTCATGGATGCTGGTAGAAGACATGAGACAAAGAACAGTTTGTTACTCAAGCGATATCAGTAGCCAGAGTACCAGCAATTTTTCCGTGGGTTCCTCGAGCCTCCGTTCCCACAATGTGACAAGAGGGCCAAAAGTCACCTGTACATGTGGTGGATTGTGTGACAGGAGAGGAAAACGTAGCTGAGAGAACCCAAATATTTTTAAATGGGTGTTAAATGTACTTGCCCTTTCTCCAGGGGAGCAGGAAGCATTTCCTTTATTATACTGGACAGTGAGCACCTCTGCCCTTTACTCCAGAGGAAGATGCTATTTCTATCCTCCAAAGCTGTGATCAGAACTGTACTTTGCTCTGGAAATAATACAAACTTTATTTTCTAAAATTTTCTCTAAACAAACATCCTTGAAAATATAGTCCAGAACAAAAAGCACCCAAATAAGCCATAAAACTAGGGTGATGCTCCATGTTTTGCCAAGAAGAGACGCAGCATGATTTCAGGTGGCTCTTATTATGAGATAATTTACTGCCTGCATGCAATCTTTTAGGATAAAATAATGCAATGAAGGACGCTTTATAAATTGCAGTCTTGTGTCCTCCCTGACTCTTCCTAAAACAAATGTATGTGAAAGAAATATACTCCTTGGGAATATATAAGATAATTTTTAATAAAAGCCAACAAAACTTACTTGACCTAGATAGCCAAATTCTATTATGAGCTCTCAATAACATTTTGTATCTTACCCTTGTAGTTTTAATCACAATTGTAATTAATTAGGCATGTATTTAATTTATTATTCAATTTCTATCAGTTCTCCTAGATTGTAAGCTTTCTGTTTCTGAGCGGTCTGTGTTTCTTTCTTTTTAAGCTCCATTTTTGAGTTGCCTAGCATAGCATCTGCTATATGGTAAATATGCAGTAAATACACGCAAAAAATTATGTTGACTGAATTTCACTTCACATATAAATGAAGTATGAAAATTTGACTTCACCAGGGTTTCCAGAAATCTGATCTGAATTTCATAGAAGACTGTCCTGGGAGGGGTAATGACCTAAGAGATTATCTCGGATCCACTTTATTTCAAAAATGAGGAATCCGAAGGCCAGAGACAGCAAATGAATTAGCCAAACTCACTCAGCCAGTAATGAAGGACCTAGGCCAGAATTCAAGTTTTCTATCTCTTGGCCTAATGCTCTTTCACCTGTCATTTCTTCACCTGTCCCTTCAACCTCTTGTGACAAAGTTTTAAAGCACACAAACATCTCCACAGTTAAGATCCTAGAAAGCCATTTCTGTTTCTAATACGAAAGAATGTGTGATATTCTACTTACCTTGCAGGCTCCCAACATCCCTGTGATCAATTGCTCCTCCAGAAGCCAACTGTGACAAAGATGTTGCTTTGAAAGAAAGGTGCTCTAGAAATGTAATAAATAAATAAATGCATGGACTAGGCAGAACAGCATAGGCTCTGGATTAAATAGAAGCAAACATTTGGTTTTTAAATTTGAAATGAATGTGGACTAGTCTCAGTCTTCTACCTTGGGAAGAGCCATGAAGATTTATTTTTGTGAACCTATCACAATTCTCATTCTCATGCAGCTATTGCTATCGAAATACCTGAGGTGAGATTGTTTTATGGCCTAACAAGAGCAAATATAGGTCTCTCTTGCCTTACTGGCTAAGTGGTTTCACACTCACTTCTGAGCAATGAATCTCAGTTTTCTAGTGAATTTCATGAAAAGATTTTTAGAGCTATAATGCTGCAGAGCAAAAATTTCCACCATAGGCTGAATGGAAAACTTAGAAAGAGGCCAGCCATCGATTTTCTGAGGGATACTGGATGGACATTACTCTTGAAATATGTTTCAGCATCTAGTATTCCAGTCCATAATTTCTCACAGTGATATTGCTTTCCTGTATTGAATGTGACTTAAGTCTGCATTCTTATATTCCCAATTTAACTCAACTCCTTCTTTGGAATTAGGATTTTAATATGTAATAGTATTATACTGTATTATAACATTTTGCTAGCAAGTTCTATCATTAATCCATATTTTACCCCTTCCTAGCCATTTAAGTCTAAGAGTTTGATTCCTAGAATGATAGTACTCTGTTGGTCCTTTTTAACAAATGTTTTCTTTATCTGCAGAAAAGAGAACTGTCTCACTCTTGTATGTCATAACTTTTAGAGTATTTAGAAGCCGTTATAAAATCAGCCTTGGTTTGTGGATTGTACCAATGTCAATATCCTGGTTTTGAGGGTGGTTCTTTGGTTATCTAAGACGTTACCGCAGGGAGACTAGGCAAAGGGTGCAGCGGGACCTATCTGTTCTAGCTTTAAATCTTTGAAACTTTCTGTGACCCTCGAATTATTTTGAAATGAACAGTGAAAGTAAAGAAGAGATCTGGAATTAGAGGAGTAGAAGCAGGAGACAAACATTTGAGTGACAAACCTGACTCTTGTCCATTGGATACACAACCTCTGTTTTGTATGTTTGTTAAACTATAAAATGGAGAATGCATCTGGCAGTAGTAACAATTAAATGAGATTAAGTGTAATGGCTTGTTCATGGAGAGGCAATATGGCATTATAATTAAGATCCTATAATGCCAGACTGCCTGCATTTAAATCCAGTTCATGCAATTTCTATGTGTGTCTTTGGCCCAGGAATTTGATCTTGCCTCAGTAGCTTAACCTGAAAATTAGGATGAGATGATAATAACATCACTTATTTTATAAAGTATTTGTGATAATTAAGTTGGTTAATATATTTAAGGCACTTAGAACAGTGCCTGGTACTTAGCAATACCGCATGAGTGTTGGCTATATTGTTAAGAAATCACTTGGCACATAGCTTAATAAATGTTAGTCTTTTTGTTTTTCTTTTCTAATTCTGAGTTAAAGCCCGTAGGCAGCCATCAGAGTAGTATGAGTAAAAGAATTGTGATATGCTGACACAATGTATACTATGAAGTAATGAATGAACAATTTCCACTACATGTAAAATTTTGGATGAATCTCACAAACATAATAGCAAGTGAAAGAAGTCATCCACCCAGGAGTTGCTTGATGTATGATTGCAATTCCATAAAGTAATAAATAGGTGAAATAAGACTTTTGCTTCTGACCATGTTGCTGTAACTGGTGCTGAACCAGCCCTGCCACAAAAATAATGAACACTTGCAAAAAATACAGAACAACTGTTTTCACATATCAGGCAGACTATTGCCTAGACTTTGCCTGTAACTGGTGCTGAACCAGCCCTGCCACAAAAATAATGAACACTTGCAAAAAATACAGAACAACTGTTTTCACATATTGGGCAGACTATTGCCTAGACTTTGTACCCTAAGAGAAGGTAAGCCTTAAGTTTAGCCCATATTTCTAGCTCTGGGCACTTTTCAGACCCTGGTTTAGAGGAGGAGAGCTCAAAAAGTGTTTGACAATATCACTAAGCTAACGATGCAGAAACTGGAGTTCAAGGAGGCACAGGTAGCTGGGATCAGAGTGAATGGGAAGAGGAAGCTGTGCAGAGAAAAACTTCAAGAAATTTACATAGACTTCCACTTGAGCCATTGGCTGAATTTTAAGCTTGTAAAACATAAGCAAGATCCCATGAGCCAGGGTGAAGAACAACTACTAAAAAAGAACAGCTACCAGAAAGCTATAAATTGAACTACAAGAGCTCACACAGGGTTGGTAGATGTTCTAATTCTTATCACTTTGTATGAAGAGAGTTTATTAACAATCCACATCATACAGTAGAAACCAATGAAGTTTACTTTTTAGGAATAGGACTAATCCAGCCCCAGAGTAAAGACCTGTTAAAACTAGCACAAAGAAAATTAAAAAACAAACGCCAAAAATATTGAGATAATCTGCAAATGAATTGCCTATCTTCTGAAATAAATTGACACATTGTTTAAAAGAAAATAACAAAATCCAAACAACATAAAAAATACAATGTCAAGTTCCCAACCAAAAATTACTAGATATGCCAAGAAGCAAAGAGATGAAACCCACAGCCAAGAGAAAAATAAGTCTATAAAAACAGACACATAAATGATAGAAAAGATGGTATTAGTAGATAAGGTTATTTTTTCTTTCTTTCTTTCTTTTTTTTTTTTTTTTTTTTAGACAGAGTCTCTCTGTCAACCAAGCTAGAGGGCAGTGGCATTATCCCGGCTCACTGCTACCTCTGCCTCCCCGGTTCAAGCTATTCTCCTGCCTCAGCCTCCCAAGTAGCTGGGATTACAGATGCCCACTGCCACACCCAGCTAATTTTTGTATTTTTAGTAGAGACAGAGTCTCTCCATTTTGGCCAAGGTAGTCTCAAACTCCTGACCTCTAGTGATCTGCCCACTTCAGCCGCCCAAAGTTCTGGATTACAAGCATGAGCCACCGCACCCAACCATAGATAAGGCTTTAAAACATCTTATATAAATATGTAAATGGATATTAAGGAAAGCATTAAAATAATGAGGGGAGAAACTTAAAATTGTGAAAAAAATGTAAAACTTCTGATGTGAAATTGACAATACCTAAAATGAAAAATCATTGATGGTCTTGATAGCAAATCAAACATCAGAAAAGAAAAGATCAGTAAATCTGAAGAAAGGGCAATAGAAACTAACCAGCATAAAGCACATGCTTTCAGTCATATATACAAAGCTACAAGAAATGAACAAAGCCACTGTGACCTGTGGGAAAATGTCAAGTGGTCTAAGATACATATAATTGGCATTTAGGATAGGTGAGACAGAAAAAATTCTTTAAAGAGGTAATGACCAAAATGTTCCTAAATTTTATAATATATAAACCCACAATTCCAAGAGATTCAACAAACCCTAAGAAAGATAAATACCAAAAAAAATAAACACACATCAAGGCACATAATAATCCAATTGCTTGATGTGAGCTATAAGAAGAAAATCTTAAATGTGAGGAAAAAAACTCACAAGACCTACAAAGAAATGAAGGTAAGAATCAATACAAACTTCATATTGAAATAATGAAAGCCAAAGGCAATGGAATAATATTTAAGGTGCTATAAGACAATAAAAATAAAAACAATTAAGTTAGAATTCATACCCAGAAAAAATTATCTTCCAACAATAAAAGCAAAATAAATACAATGATAGTCAGAAGCTGAAAAGATTCATCACCTGCACCCCTACACTGCAAAAAAAAAAAAAAAAAAATTAAAGGAAATTTTTAAGCTGAAGGGAAATGATACAAACTGGAAATATAGATTTGTACAAAAGAATAAAGTGAGCTAGAGGGGTAAATGTAGAATAAATTCCAAAGACATTATTTTTCTCATTTTAAAATTTCATTAAAATTTCTTTTTTAAACCAAAAATAAATAATACATATGTGGAAGTTTAAAACATACATATACATAAAAGTTTCAACAATAATAGCACAAAGGACAGAAAAAAATAGAAGTATACTACTGTAAGATTTTAATATTATAATAAATGATATAATATCATTTAAATGTAGACTAAGGTAAAGTTAAAGGTGCAAATTGTAAACCTTAAAGCAGTCATTAAAGAATTCATCAAATCTGTAAAGCTAATTAAAACACACACAAACACACACACACACAGGCAAAGCAAATCAGTGTTTTTCAAAGTCAAAATAGTTAACTTTGTAGGAATAGTGACTAGAAGAGGGCACAAGGGGAACTTCAAGGTAATGCTCCGGTTATGTTATGCTTCTTATCTGCATATTTGCTATCTGGGTGTCTTCACTTAGTGATAACTGAGTTGTACAGTTAAGATATGCAGTTTTCCACATTTACATAAGCATATATGTATGTGTGTATATAAATATATGTACACAAGGGGGCTTGAACGGGTTGGTGGAAAAATTGAATTAAAAGATGAAAATATGGAGCTGACTGCAATGGCTCGTTCCTATAATCCTATCTACAGGTGGGATAATTGCTTGAGCTCAGGTGTTTGAGGCTGCTGTGAGCTATGATTGCACTACTACAGCCTGGGTGACACAGCAAGACCCCATCTCTAATAATAATAATAATGATAAAAAATACAAACTTCATTTTTCAGGATAAGTTTCATCAAGTTCAAAACACTTTTGTTTTCTTCATTCTTGCTGTCATCTTAAGTTTAAGACACTTTTGTAAGCAATGATATCAGCCATTTAGTCCATACCTAAAGAGCTGAACATCCTGGAAATATAATCATGTCAATGCAGTTTTTTTACATTATTAACTGAAGAAAAATATGTCTCCTTAACAGATTGTTTAAGATGACGAAACAAAAAAAGTCAAAAGGAGACAAAACAAGTCTGTAAGGTGGATGCCTAATGATTTCCCATTGAAACTCACAAAATTGCCTTTGTTTGATGAGAGGAATGAGCAAGAGCATTGTTATGGTGGAAGGAGACTCTCTGGTGAATCTTTCCTGGGCAATTTTCTGCTAAAGCTTTGGCTAACTTTCTCAAAGAACTCTCATAATAAGCAGATGTTATCGTTCTTTGGCCCTCCAGAAAGTTAACAAGCAAAATGCTTTGAACAACCTGAAAAACTGTTGCCATGACCTGTGTTCTTGACTGGTCTGCTTTTGCTTGGACTGGACCACTTCCATTTCTTGGTAGCCATTGCTTTGATTGTGCTTTGTCTTAGGGATCATACTGGTAAAGCCATGTTTCATCTTCTGTTACAGTTCTTTGAAAACACCCTTCAGAGTCTTGATCCTAATTGTCTAAAATTTCCATTAAAGTCTCTGCTCTTGTCTGCAGCAGATCAGGGTGCAATGGTTTTGGCACCCATCGAGTGGAAGTTTTGTTAAACTTTAATTTTTCAGCCAGAATTGTGTAAGCTGAACCAGTTGAGATGTGTATGGTGTTGGCTACTGTTTGCACATTTAATTCTTCAGTTAGGGCATGAACGAGATAAATTTTTTCCTTGCAAGTTGATGTGGATAGTCTGCTGCTATGGGCTTTGTCTGCAACATTGTCTCTTCCCTTCTTAAAATGAATTATCCATTTGTAAATTGCTGATTTCTTTGGGACATTGTCTCCATAAACTTTTTGTTAAGTATCAACAATTTCACCATTCTTACACCCAAACCTCACCCTATATTTGATATTTGCTCTTGCTTCAATTTTAGCAGAATTCATGTTGCTCTGATAGGGGCTCTTTCAAAAGGTGTCTTATCCTTCTTAGCATCTCAAACTAGATCCTGTCTAGACATGTTAATGAGCTAGTATGAGTTTATTTTGGTGCAAAAAAAAAATCAAAATCCATGCATCAAGTTTTTTATAATATGCATTTTCCATAAGTGTTTTAAAGATTCCTCATGTGTGTGTGCATTTGTGTGTGCATACATACATACTTATATGTACATAAGGCAAAGGGAGACAAATAACAGATCATCTCAGAAAATATCAGGACTATCACATTGCCCACCTAACTCACAGATGCACAACTCATGTCCCAGTCTTTCTCTATAAATAGCACCCCTTGGAGTTCTACCTGAACAAAATTGCATGGCTTTATCTGATTACTGTGGAAACTACTACTCTATTAGAATTACTTTTCAAAAGCTTTTAGTGGTCCGTTATACATCAAAGAACAAGCCAAGGAATGTTAATCCAAACTTTATCCATTTTGTTTTTGAGAAAATAGTCAGGCACCCACCTCCTTGCCTGACTAATTTTTGTATTTTTAATAGAGATGGGGTTTCACTTGAACTCCTAACCTCAGGTAATCCACCTACCTCAGCTTCTCAAAGTGCTGGGATTACAGGGGTGAGCCACTGTGCCCGGCCAATCAAATTTATTTTTAAGGAGCCTCAGGGAGCTGAGTTTTTCTATAAAACCTCTTCAAGAAAACACTCACAGCTGGGCAAGGTGGCTCACACCTGTGGTCCCAGCACTTAGGGAGGCCAAGGAGGGCAGATCACGAGGTCAGGAGTTTGAGACCAGCCTGACCAACATGGTGAAACCCTGTCTCTACTAAAAATACAAAAATTAGCCAGGCATGGTGGCACACACCTGTGATCCCAGCTACTTGGGAGGCTGAGGCAGAAGAATCGCTTGAACTCAGGAGGCGGAGGTTGCAGTGAGCCGAGATTACGCCACTGCACTCCGGCCTGGGTGACAGAGTAAGACTCCATCTCAAAAAAAAAAAAAAAAAAAGAAAAAAAAAAAGAAAACACTGATGAAATAATGTTTTCTATTAAATGTATGATTTAATACTTTATGTTTTGTAAATTTGTTTGCTTTTCCCTTCTTTTCATGACCATTTACATATTTTATGGTATAGGATTTCAGGTATAGAATTTTAGTTTATAATTTATAACACTATTCTAAACCAATTCAGCTCACAATTGCGTACATTGCTACAATTGCCCCAAAACTAATGAGGTCGTAAGTAAAACCTTACCTATGAAACAGATAATATGTGTCTGTCAAGATCCTGTTCAAGCATCACCTCCTCTCTGAAGCCTTGCTGGATTCCAATGAGGCAGAATTAATTACCGTTTCTTGAAGCATCAACATATTGTGCATCTTCTATTAAAGCACATGTCCTAGTGAAAAGAGCTGATTTGTTTATTTCTCTGCTTCCCTGACGAGACTGTTTTAGCCATCTTTGTATGTTCAGCACCCAGTATAGGGTCTAATCCATGACAAGTGCTCAAAAATTGTTTCAAAGTTGGGGAGAGAGGATGGGGGCCCAGGATGGGGGAGGTAAATGGGATGGAAAAAAAAAGAAAGGATTTGCTTAACACTAGTAAATGAAAGGGAAGATATTCTTGGTTGGATAAAACAGTTGTTTGTCCAGCAAGCTTAAATTTGCATCCATTGTCACAAAATAATTAGACTCTCTCTAGGTCGTTTCACAGCACTGACTGTAAATACTTTGAAAGTATTAATCCAGTGTTAGACTGGTGCTTCGTGTCCTGCTATGCCATATGAATTGTTTCCCTTATGATCTGAGGACTGCAAAATATTTTACAAATATTATCTTGCCAAATGAGTATGTGTAAAAATTGTCCTCAGGGCTTCCAGTGATGAAAGAGTTTGCACACCAACAAAATAAACATGCTTCCGCAACCCCCAGGCAACACTATTCACTCCCTTCTCTGATTCCCAGAGCACATTATTCATTTCTCTAATACAGCATTCAGTGCAGTCTGTCAGAGTCTGTTAGGCTTTCCCTGCCCAGTTGTATTGTAAGCTTCTTGAGGACAGAGACTGTGTTTTTATCTTGTTATCCCCAGTTCCTAACACAGAAACTGGCACGTGGTAGGTGTTCCATACTCATTTCTTGAGTGATTAAATGAATAAGAAAACATCTTGTAGTACTTTTATTTGAATAGGTCCTAAAAGTCCTGTCAATCTAGCTGTCTGGAGTCCAACTTTAAAAGCATCTCCAAAATAAGGAGCCAATAAAAGTCTTTGTTAAGAGTTGACTCCTGATCCTGCAGTGGCAACATGACAACCAGAAAGGGGCCTTAAATCATTCTCAGTATCCTAGGAACAATCTGATCACCCTGTGTGAGGAGGGCAACCCTTTAATCTGTAGCAATATTTAGTAGTAATTGTATTTTTCATGTGAAACTTGATAAGCTCAGAGATATTTGGAGAACCAGTAAAAAAGCAAAAAGAAGAACAAACAAAATGATAGAAATGGAAAGACAAATTGTTTTCTATTTAAATACAACATATGCCAGGTACTATGTGAGGTGCTCAGGATTCAGTGTTGAAATAAGATGTGCTCCAAGGCCTGGTTCACATATTTCTGGGGCCTGTGGAATCTTAAAGTGCCTCCTGCTACCATCTCAAAATGTTCCCCAGAGGAAAAAAAAAAAATATATATATATATATATATATGATCATTGAGTCTACAGCAATTTGGTGGTGTTCCATTTTGGTGTTCATTTGGCTTTAATATAATAAAATGTACTCTTCATTTACCAATAGAACAAACAAGTCACTAAAACAAAATGTCATAGTTATGATTTCACTCCCAAACTGCTCTTCAGTGTCAAAGTCAGACTCAGCAGCCTCAGAGACAAAACTGCTCCACCCTACCCATTCAATGACAAAACACACTGAAGAGCCTTGGCAGCCAGCAGAGCAAGTCCTGCATTGGGGTTTTGGATGATGAGATCAAGACGTGATCACAGCAGAGTTATATTAGTGCAATTACTAAGCAATTAATAGACCTATAGACTATTCTCATGAACCCATAATGAGACCAGGGTATCAAGACAAGGAGGGTCATACACAGGGCCGTGCCAGTGGAAGGAGGGTTCAGGAAACTCTAAAACAATTCTGAAAAAAATTTTAATATGCCAATTAAGGAGGACATTTACCAATGTAATTATAGTATCTAGATTATTTTTGAAACCCTGTATATTAAAACTTATTTGAATGTGACTTTTTGTGAGATTTTCAAAGGAAATTTTCTAGTAGTTCAAACGCTCCACAATGTTTTATTTTAAATTTTCTAGAATTTGTATTGGGAATAAATATAAAATGGGCCCAAAGTACTTCCTTTTCAGAAACAGAACTTCACATTAAAACTTCAATTAATTATCATTTGGGATATTCATTCTTGCAGCAAATATGGATGCGTTGCAATGATGAATCTTTTCAGTGTGGGACACTGATGACTCTGACAGGGTCTATCCCTTCAGAAATCTCCAGTTGAGTAAGGTAATAAGATGTGTGCTCAAACAAGTAAAATAAGAGGTAAAATATTTTTACAAATTCTAAGAGAGATCCAGAGAAAATGCCATGGGACATCAGGGGATAAAAACAATGTATCCAGGTAAAGGCCAAAAAATGAATCAGAATTACTGGGGGCGGGGGGTGGGGTCAGGGGCGGTGGGAATAAACAGTCTGTTTAGTGACTGTGACATAGGAACAGTTTATTAGTAAGAATAATGCCAGCTGAGCATGGTGGCTCACACCTGTAATCCCAGCACTTTGGGAGGCCAAGGCAGGTGGATCACTTGAGGTCAGGAGTTCGCGACTGGCCTGGCCAACATGGTGAAACTCCTCTCTACTAAAAATACAAAGAATATCCGGGCATCTTGATGTGTTCCTGTAATCCCCGCTACTCAGGAGGCTGAGGCAGGAGAACCACTTGAACCCAGGAAGCAGTGGTTGCAGTGAGCCAAGATTGCACCATTGCACTCAAGTCTGGGTGACACAGCAAGACTCTGTCTCAAAAAAACACAAAAAAACAAACAAAAAAAGAATAATGCCTATATTCCAGATGTGTTATATGCATAAAAGAGTGCATATGTAAAGTGGGTGCGGTGGCTCACGCCTGTAATCCCCACACTTTGGGAGGCTGTGGCGGGTGGATCACCTGAGGTCAGGAGTTCAAGACCTGCCTGGCCAACATGATGAAACCCTATCTCTACTAAAAATACAAAAAATTAGCTGGGCATGGTGATGGGCGCCTATAATCCCAGCTACTCAGGAGGCTGAGACAGGAGAATCGCTTGAACCCGGGAGGTGGAGGTTGCAGTGAGCTGAGATTGTGCCACTGCACTCCAGCCTGGGCAACAAGAGTCAAATTCTAAAAAAATAAAAAATAAAAAATAAAATAAAAGAGTACATATGTAAAAGGTTTCAAATGTCATCAAGCATGTAACTGATGTCTAATAAATGAGCTAAAATACTGTGTAACTTTTGAAGATTCATTGCCAGTTTTTGTTTGTACCCTTACTAAAAATCTTTAGAAATATTAGTTTACTTTTATCCTTAAAAATCAGTGCTTCCTGATGATAATGGTTTGTTAATAATAAGCTTAGAGTGCCCCGGTCTTTACAATTTTTATTGCATTTCACATTGTTTTAGCGATAAGTGGAGATCTAGAGTTGAAAATGTAAATGCTCCAGGGACCAGGCAGGTCATGGAAGCATGTGAAACAATCTGTAATAAAGCAATAATAAGCAGTAGAGATCTGGGCAAGTTGGAAAGCAACTGTGTCTTCTGAAAGCATTCCATTTCAAGTTCCAAAGGTTTAAAATTCTGTATTTCAAAGATTCAGATAAACCTCTGTCAAAATCCCAGCTGTTATTTTTGCAGAAATTGAAAAGTTAATCTTAAATTTCACATGGAAATGCAAAGGATCCAGAATAACCAAAACAAACTGGAAATAGAAACTAAGTTGGAGATTTTACACTTCTTGATTTCCAAACTTACTACAAAGCTACAACAATCAAGGCAGTATGGTACCAACTTAAAGAGATCATATATAGATCAATAGAATAGAACTGAGAGTCCAGAAGTAAGCCCTCATATTTATGGCATATTGCTTTTTAACAAAGGTGTTAAGACAATTCAATGTGGAAAGGATAGTTTTTTGAACAAATGATGCTTGGACAATTGGATATCTACATTGCAAGAAATACATTTGTCCCTTTACCTCATACCATGCACAAAAATTAACTCAAAATAGCTCCTAGACCTAAATATATGAGCTAAAACTATAAACCTACTTAAAGAAAATATAGGGGCACATTTATGTAATCCTGTGTAACAAATATTTCTTAGATATGGTATCTAAAATTTAATGAAGAAAAGATAAAAATAATACATTGGACTTCATTAAAATTAGAAACTTTGCCCTTAATAAAACACTACCAAGACAATAAAAAAAGACAAGTCATGGATTACAAAAATATTTCTAAATTGTATATCCAATAAGGAACTTGTATCCAGAATAAAATAATTCTTTTAACTCAATAAGAAAACAAACCAATTTTAAAATGTGAAGTGTTTCATAAACATTTCACCAAAGAAGCTATATAAATGGCAAATAAGCCCGTGAAAAGATGCCCAATAACATTGGGCATTAGGGAAAGAAAAATTAAAATCATAGTAAGATAACGTTTTGCACCCACTAGAATGGTTGTAGTCATAAATAGCCAAAAACAAGTACTGATATGGATGTAGGGAAATTGGACATTGCAATGCCAAATGAAGCAGTCACATTGGAAAACAGTTTCAGTTTTTTTAAGTATTAAACATAGATTTACCATATGACCAAGCAATTCCACTCCTCAGCATGCAAGATAAATGAAAGCGTATATCCACCCAAAGACTTGTACATGAACAGCATTACTCATAATAGTCAACAGTAGAAATAATCCAACTAAGCAATGCATAAACAAGGTGTGGCATATCCATACAATGGAACACTACTTGGCAATGTAAAGGAATAAAGTATTGAAATGTTCTACAACATGAATAAACCTCAAAATAAACCTATGGTAAGTGAAAGAAGCCAGAAAAAAAAGTCACATATTGGATAATTACATTTGTAGAAAATGACAAGAAATGAGAGTTGAATTTTTTTTGGAGGCCACACTTTAGATACATTACAGCATTTACCTCCCTTCCACTGCCATCCATTCTCTTACTTATCAACTCAATACCTTTCTTATCAGCCCCCAAATCCCTATCTCCTCTATTTCAGTTCATCTCTCATAGCAATGATTTTGCCAAAGAATTCCTCTATTGTGCAATCTCTTCTTTTATAATTGTGCTTTCATGATATATTAGTTAATAGCTGGAGGCTTGGAGCCTGAGATACATGAACTTGTATCCTAGATACTAACCAGATGTTTCTTAGAAAAATTATTTAACCTCTCAGAACTTAACCTATAAAATAGAGTTAATTTCATTTCCTTCGTAGAGCAGTGTAAAAATTAAACAAGCAATTACGTTGAATGCTTATTGCATGCCCTGGTCCAATAAAATAGAGCTTTTAGTATTATTAGAATAAATGACTTGTCCAGGTTCACTGATAATAGTGAGGGGATTAGATCCCTTTGTATCATATTGTACTGTTCCATGCTGCCCGTTTTCTTTACCTGACACAACTTGCATTGTAGGCTAAATGAAAGGAGTGTTTAGCAAGAAAAGCCTAAACATAAGCATAAGCGAAGACTAGGCTCTAATATTGTCATCATAATTTGCTAGCTCTGTCACCCTGTTCAACATTCTGAGTCTTCAGATTTGTCTATCAAATTACTGACTGTGATTGTATGTAATAGAAATATTGTAGATGATTTATAAATGTTAGTTGCTTATGCATTGCAGCTCAAATTACCCTATTTATCTGCAGGAGCCTATTTTTCCCTTTCTTATATACAGTGCCCTCATGCTCTCTGCCAGCCACCCTCCAATCCAAACCTACTTAAAAAAAGAAAAGCTGACATCAACAACATGGTGGAATAGGCAGCTCTTGACTCTCTTTCCACCCATGGATGCATCAAATAAACATTTATTCATGGATCAATTCCCTCTGAGGGGAAGCCAGAGACCAGTTGAGAGACTCCTACCCTCTGGAGAAGTCAGAAACATTCACATTAAACAGGCAGAAAATGCTGAGGCACATTCAGGCATGGACCTCCCTCTAGGCACCATGCCATAAGATTGGGAAAGAAATCCCCAACACACAACATCTCCCTGTGGAGAGAAGGAGTTGGACCTCACATAGACTGCCCTAACTCTAAAGTTCCCATGATTTGGCCCTTAATTCACCAACTCTGGGAATGCAGGGAAGGGATTACTCACAAGTGAGTTTTTCTAGTGGTGTTTTATTAAGTACAAAAGTTCCTGGGCCAGGTGTGGTGGCTCACACCTATAATCCCATCACTTTGGGAGGCCGAGGTGGGTGAATCACCTGAAGTCAGGAGTTCGAGACCAGCCTGGCCAACATGGCAAAACCCAGTCTCTATTAAAAATAATTTTTAAAAAATTACCCAGGCGTGGGCACCTGTAATCCCAGCTACTTGGGAGACTGAAGCAGGAGAATTGCTTGAACCCGGGAGGCAGAGGTTGCAGTGAGCCGAGATCGTGCCACTGCACTCCAGCCTGGGCAACAGAGTGAGACTCTGTCTCAAAAAAAAAAAAAAAAAGTTCCTAATTTTGATGAAGTCCGATTTATTATTTTTATCATTTATTCATTGAACTTTTGATACCATATCTAAGAAATATTTGTTACACAGGATTACATAAATGTGCCCCACATTTTTTCTTTATACAAGCTGCAAGTACTTCCAGGGGCTTTTTCTTCCAGGAACAGTGCAGAGAGAGAGCTATAAAAACTTCAACCCCCTATTTCTCCCTGGAAAGGACATAGTGTTCCAGTGGCCACTTGGTGACCTGGGTTCTAACTAACTTGTGTAGGCGAGTAGGAGGAGCAGACAAGTATTAACTTGCTGGCAAGCTGAGAAGATGGGCACTTCTTGAGCCTTCTCTGACTCCTCCCAGTGACGATTCCAGGTCTCTTAATCCTTGGAAGAAGTTTTTTCACAGATAGAGCACCCTAACTTTTATAGCTTCTATCAAGGGACAGCATCCTAAACCTCCTAGCCCTGGAAGCAGAGGACAATTAGAAATGTGACTCTATTTAGACGACAGAAAAAAACTGACCATTTTATGTGGATGCATAAGCACTTTCAGAGGCTTCATTCCCCAGGAGTAGTGCAGAAAAGGGGCTTTAAAAATGTACCTTCCGGGAGGAGCCAAGATGGCCGAACAGGAACAGCTCCGGTCTACAGCTCCCAGTGTGAGCGAGGCAGAAGACAGGTGATTTCTGCATTTCCATCTGAGGTACCAGGTTCATCTCACTAGGGAGTGCCAGAGAGTGGGCTCAGGTCAGTGGGTGCGCGCACTGTGCGCGAGCCGAAGCAGGGCGAGGCATTGCCTCACTTGGGAAGCGCAAGGGGTCAGGGAGTTCCCTTTCCAAGTCAAAGAAAGGGGTGACAGACAGCACCTGGAAAATCGGGTCACTCCCACCCGAATACTGCGCTTCTCCAACGGGCTTAAAAAACGGCGCACCACGAGATTATCTCCGGCACCTGGCTTGGAGGGTCCTACACCCACGGAGTCTCGCTGATTGCTAGCAGGGCAGTCTGAGATCAAACTGCAAGGAGGCAGCGAGGCTGGGGGAGGGGCGCCCGCCATTGCCCAGGATTGCTTAGGTAAACAAAGCAGCCTGGAAGCTCGAACTGGGTGGAGCCCACCACAGCTCAAGGAGGCCTGCCTGCCTCTGTAGGCTCCACCTCTGGGGGCAGGGCACAGACAAACAAAAAGACAGCAGTAACTTCTGCAGACTTAAATGTCCCTGTCTGACAGCTTTGAAGAGAGCAGTGGTTCTCCCAGCACGCAGCTGGAGATCTGAGAACTGGCAGACTGCCTCCTCAAGTGGGTCCCTGACCCCTGACCACCGAGCAGCCTAACTGGGAGGCACCCCCAGCAGGGGCACACTGACACCTCACACGGCAGGGTATTCCAACTGAAGGTCCTGTCTGTTAGAAGGAAAACTAACAAACAGAAAGGACATCCACACCAAAAACCCATCTGTACATCACCATCATCAGAGATCAAAAGTAGATAAAACCACAAAGATGGGGAAAAAACAGAACAGAAAAACTGGAAACTGTAAAACGCAGAGCGCCTCTCCTCCTCCAAAGGAACGCAGCTCCTCACCAGCGATGGAACAAAGCTGGATGGAGAATGACTTTGATGAGCTGAGAGAAGAAGGCTTCAGATGATCAAATTACTCTGAGCTATGGGAGGACATTCAAACCAAAGGCAAAGAAGTTGAAAACTTTGAAAAAAATTTAGAAGAATGTATAACTAGAATAACCAATACAGAGAAGTGCTTAAAGGAGCTGATGGAGCTGAAAACCAAGGCTCGAGAACTACGTGAAGAATACAGAAGCCTCAGGAGCCGATGCGATCAACTGGAAGAAAGGGTATCAGCAATGGAAGATGAAATGAATGAAATGAAGCGAGAAGGGAAGTTTAGAGAAAAAAGAATAAAAAGAAATGAGCAAAGCCTCCAAGATATATGGGACTATGTGAAAAGACCAAATCTACGTCTGATTGGTGTACCTGAAAGTGATGGGGAGAATGGAACCAAGTTGGAAAACACACTGCAGGATATTATCCAGGAGAACTTCCCCAATCTAGCAAGGCAGGCCAACGTTCAGATTCAGGAAATACAGAGAACGCCACAAAGATACTCCTCGAGAAGAGCAACTCCAAGACACACAATTGTCAGATTCACCAAAGTTGAAATGAAGGAATAAATGTTAAGGGCAGCCAGAGAGAAAGGTCGGGTTACCCTCAAAGGGAATCCCATCAGACTAACAGCGGATCTCTCGGCACAAACCCTACAAGCCAGAAGAGAGTGGGGGCCAATATTCAACATTCTTAAAGAAAAGAATTTTCAACCCAGAATTTCATATCCAGCCAAACTAAGCTTCGTAAGCGAAGGAGAAATAAAATACTTTACAGACAAGCAAATGCTGAGAGATTTTGTCACCACCATCCCTGCCCTAAAAGAGCTCCTGAAGGAAGCGCTAAATATGGAAAGGAACAACCGGTACCAGCCGCTGCAAAATCATGCCAAAATGTAAAGACCATCGAGACTAGGAAGAAACTGCATCAACTAACACGCAAAATAACAAGCTAACATCATAATGACAGGATTAAATTCACACATAACAATATTAACTTTAAATGTAAATGGACTGAATGCTCCAATTAAAAGACACAGACTGGCAAATTGGATAAAGAGTCAAGACCCATCAGTGTGCTGTATTCAGGAAACCCATTCACGTGCAGAGACACACATAGGCTCAAAATAAAAAGATGGAGGAACATCTACCAAGCAAATGGAAAGCAAAAAAAGGCAGGGGTTGCAATCCTAGTCTCGGATAAAACAGACTTTAAACCAACAAAGATCAAAAGAGACAAAGAAGGCCATTACATAATGATAAAGGGATCAATTCAACAAGAAGAGCTAACTATCCTAAATATATATGCACCCAATACAGGAGGACCCAGATTCATAAAGCAAGTCCTGAGTGACCTACAAAGAGACTTAGACTCCCACACATTAATAATGGGAGACTTTAATACCCCACTGTCAACATTAGACAGATCAACGAGACAGAAAGTCAACAAGGATACCCAGGAATTGAACTCAGCTCTGCACCAAGCAGACCTAATAGACATCTACAGAACTCTCCACCCCAAATCAACAGAATATACATTTTCTTCAGCACCACACCACACTTATTCCAAAACTGACCACATACTTGGAAGTAAAGCTCTCCTCAGCAAATGTAAAAGAACAGAAATTATAACAAACTATCTCTCAGACCACAGTGCAATCAAACTAGAACTCAGGATTAAGAATCTCACTCAAAACCGCTCAACTACATGGAAACTGAACAACCTGCTCCTGAATGACTACTGGGTACATAACGAAATGAAGGCAGAAATAAAGATGTTCTTTGAAACCAACGAGAACAAAGACACAACATACCAGAATCTCTGGGATGCATTCAAAGCAGTGTGTAGAGGGAAATTTATAGCACTAAATGCCCACAAGGGAAAGCAGGAAAGATCCAAAATTGACACCCTAACATCACAATTAAAAGAACTAGAAAAGCAAGAGCAAACACATTCAAAAGCTAGCAGAAGGCAAGAAATAACTAAGATCAGAGCAGAACTGAAAGAAATAGAGACACAAAAAACCCTTCAAAAAATTAATGAATCCAGGAGCTGGTTTTTTGAAAGGATCAACAAAATTGATAGACTGCTAGCAAGACTAATAAAGAAAAAAAGAGAGAAGAATCAAATAGACGCAATAAAAAATGATAAAGGGGATATCACCACTGATCCCACAGAAATACAAACTCCCATCAGAGAATACTACAAACACCTCTATTCAAATAAACTAGAAAATTTAGAAGAAATGGATAAATTCCTCAACACATATACCCTCCCAAGACTAAACCAGGAAGAAGTTGACTCTCTGAATAGACCAATAACAGGATCTGAAATTGTGGCAATAATCAATAGCTTACCAACCAAAAAGAGTCCAGGACCAGATGGATTCACAGCCGAATTCTACCAGAGGTACAAGGAGGAACTGGTACCATTCCTTCTGAAACTATTCCAATCAATAGAAAAAGAGGGAATCCTCCCTAACTCATTTCATGAGGCCAGCATCATTCTGATACCAAAACCTGGCAGAGACACAACCAAAAAAGAGAATTTTAGACCAATATCCTTGATGAACATTGATGCAAAAATCCTCAATAAAATACTGGCAAAACGAATCCAGCAGCACATCCAAAAGCTTATCCACCATGATCAAGTGGGCTTCATCCCTGGGATGCAAGGCTGGTTCAATATACGCAAATCAATAAATGTAATCCAGCATATAAACAGAACCAAAGACAAAAACCACATGATTATCTCAATAGATGCAGAAAAAGCCTTTGACAAAATTCAACAACCTTCATGCTAAAAACTCTCAATAAATTAGGTATTGATGGGATGTATTTCAAAATAATAAGAGCTATCTATGACAAACCCACAGCCAATATCATACTGAATGGGCAAAAACTGGAAGCATTCCCTTTGAAAACTGGCACAAGACAGGGATGCCCTCTCTCACCACTCCTATTCAACATAGTGTTGGAAGTTCTGGCCAGGGCAATTAGGCAGGAGAAGGAAATAAAGGGTATTCAATTAGGAAAAGAGGAAGTCAAATTGTCCCTGTTTGCAGATGACATGATTGTATATCTAGAAAACCCCATTGTCTCAGCCCAAAATTTCCTTAAGCCGATAAGCAACTTCAGCAAAGTCTCAGGATACAAAATCAATGTACAAAAATCACAAGCATTCTTATACACCAACAACAGACAAACAGAGAGCCAAATCATGAGTGAACTCCCATTCACAATTGCTTCAAAGAGAATAAAATACCTAGGAATCCAACTTACAAGGGATGTGAAGGACCTCTTCAAGGAGAACTACAAACCACTGCTCAATGAAATAAAAGAGGATACAAACAAATGGAAGAACATTCCATGCTCATGGATAGGAAGAATCAATATCGTGAAAATGGCCATACTGCCCAAGGTAATTTACAGATTCAATGCCATCCCCATCAAGCTACCAATGCCTTTCTTCACAGAATTGGAAAAAACTACTTTAAAGTTCATATGGAACCAAAAAAGAGCCCGCATCGCCAAGTCAATCCTAAGCCAAAAGAACAAAGCTGGGGGCATCACACTACCTGACTTCAAACTATACTACAAGGCTACAGTAACCAAAACAGCATGGTACTGGTACCAAAACAGAGATATAGATCAATGGAACAGAACAGAGCCCTCAGAAATAACGCCGCATATCTACAACTATCTGATCTTTGACAAACCTGAGAAAAACAAGGAATGGGGAAAGGATTCCCTATTTAATAAATGGTGCTGGGAAAACTGGCTAGCCATATGTAGAAAGCTGAAACTGGATCCCTTCCTTACACCTTATACAAAAATCAATTCAAGATAGATTAAAGACTTAAACGTTAGACCTAAAACCACAAAAACCCTAGAAGAAAACCTAGGCATTACCATTCAGGGCATAGGCATGGGCAAGGACTTCACGTCTAAAACACCAAAAGCAATGGCAACAAAAGACAAAATTGACAAATGGGATCTAATTAAACTAAACAGCTTCTGCACAGCAAAAGAAACTACCATCAGAGTGAACAGGCAACCTACAAAATGGGAGAAAATTTTTGCAACCTACTCATCTGACAAAGGGCTAATATCCAGAGTCCACAATGAACTCAAATAAATTTACAAGAAAAAAACAAACAACCCCATCAAAAAGTGGGCGAAGGACATGAACAGACACTTCTCAAAAGAAGACATTTATGCAGCCAAAAAACACATGAAAAAATGCTCATCATCACCGGCCATCAGAGAAATGCAAATCAAAACCACAATGAGATACCATCTCACACCAGTTAGAATGGCAATCATTAAAAAGTCAGGAAACAACAGGTGCTGGAGAGGATGTGGAGAAATAGGAACGTTTTTACACTGTTGGTGGGACTGTAAACTAGTTCAACCATTGTGGAAGTCAATGTGGCGATTCCTAAGGGATCTAGAACTAGAAATACCATTTGACCCAGTCATCCCATTACTGGGTATATACCCAAAGGACTATAAATCATGCTGCTATAAAGACACATGCACACGTATGTTTATTGCGGCATTATTCACAATAGCAAAGACTTGGAACCAACCCAAATGTCCAACAATTATAGACTGGATTAAGAAAATGTGGCACATATACACCATGGAATACTATGCAGCCATAAAAAAGGATGAGTTCATGTCCTTTGTAGGGACATGGATGAAATTGGAAATCATCATTCTCAGTAAACTATCGCAAGAACAAAAAACCAAACACCGCATATTCTCACTCATAGGTGGGAATTGAACAATGAGATCACATGGACACAGGAAGGGGAATATCACACTCTGGGGACTGCTGTGGGGGTGGGGGGAGGGTGGAGGGATAGCATTGGGAGATATACCTAATGGTAGATGACGAGTTAGTGGGTGCAGCACACCAGCATGTCACATGTATACATATGTAACCTGCACAATGTGCACATGTACCCTAAAACTTAAAAGTATAATAATAATAATTAAAAAAAAGAATTATCAACTCAAAAAAAAATGTACCTTCCTGTTTCTCCTTAGAAGGGTTTATACCACATATCAAGTGCCTCAATTTTACAGCTACCTCACAAAAGATTCCATGTTAAACTTCTTGGCTTTGGGAGCAGAAGGGACTAGACCTATGTGAGTCTCTCTAGACTACAGAAAAAAAGAGGTAATATTAAATGTGGTGCAAACATTTCCAGAGGCTACACCCCATTGGAGCAATGCAGTAAAGGGGCACAGACATTCAGCTCCCATTTTCTCTTTGGAAAGGGCTTTCCAGTGACTACTTGCTGGTCTGGCTTCTAACAAACTTGCATCAGTAGCTAAAAGAGCAAACAAACAATAGCCCTCCAGCAGCCAAAGCCAGAGCTTGCCTCTTCATGAGCCTTTCCTCCAGCTCAGCCCAGTGATAAATCCAGGTATGCCCATTCTTCCTGGAAGGAATTTGGTTCAGAGCCACAACTTCCATAAGCCCCAAGCCAAAGGACTGTCTACTTAACAATTCAGCCCTGGGAGTTGATGGGTTTTGCCTTTCTGGGTGGCCTTAAACCACAGGAAACAAACAGGTGGACATACAATAGGTCCACTTCTAGCAACTATCTTCCCAAGAACAGAGGGTGCAACATAAACATGAATACAGGAATTTGCCACAGATCCTCACTACAGCTTAATGCAGGGTGAAAGATATATGCCTCTGCTCAGCTTTACCAGGAAGATAGAAGGAAGTAGAATAAACATCCAACATCTTAAATTATCAGCTACATCTAGAAAATCTGACTCCTACCTTACCAGTCCTGGGCTACTGACAGGCTATTGTACATTCTAAGCTCCAGTGAGCCACCAAAAACAGAAAGAAAATTTCCAAATTCAAAGATTCGAGATGTACCTTAAGATCTCAGAACAGATGAATTGGTGAGATTCTTGTCCTACAGGAGGCCAGTGTGACAAGACTGGTAGAGGTTATGGTCTTATCTAATGTGTAGAAACCAATACAGAGAGTCAAAGAAAATGAAGAAACCATTTTAAAATATTCCAAATTTAAAAAGAATTTCTACAAACCAACTTGAGTAAAACGAAGATATGTGATTTACTTTATTTATGTTCAGTGAGGTCAGAAGAGGAATGCAAGAACAAACTGAGAATTTCTTTTTTTTTTTTTTTTTGAGACAGGGTCTTGCTGTGTTGCCCAGGCTGGAGTGCGGTGGCATGATCTTGGCTAACTGCAACCTCTGCCTCCTGGGTTCAAGTGATTCTCCTGCCTCAACCTCCCAAGTAGCTGGGATTACAGGCACATGCCACTATACTCAGCTGATTTTTGTATTTTTAGTAAAGACAGGGTTTCACCATGTTGGCCAGGCTGGTCTCAAACTTCTCACCTCAGGTGATCCACCTGACTCGGCCTTCCAAAGTGCTGGGATTACAGGTGTGAGCAACCACACCTGGCCACAAACTGAGAATTTCAACAAAGAATAGAGAGGCTCATCAGCAGACTAAATCAAGCAGAAGAAAGGATCAGTGACCTTGAAGATAGGTGATTGGAAATCATATAATCTAAGGAGCGAAAAGAAACAAAAGAATAAATGAGGAAAATTTAAGAAATTTATGGAACAATATCAAGCATACCAACATTTGCGTTACCAGAATACCAAAGGAGAAGAAAGAGAAAGGGACAGAAAATATGTTAAAAGAATTAATGTCAGCAAGTTTCACAAGTGTGAAGGAGGAAATAGAAATCCAGATCCAGGAAGCTTAAAGGACACCAGATAAGATGAATTTAAAAAGATCCATATCAAAACACATTACAATCAAACTGTCAAAAATTAAAGGCTAAGAGAGAGTTTTCAAAGTGGCAGGGTAAAAGTGAATTGTTATATACAAGAGAACCTTCATAATATTATTAGAGGATTTTTTAGAAAAAAACTTGCAGTCCAGAAGGGAGTGGGATGATATGTCAAAAACCTGAAAGAAAAGAACAAATGTTAACCAAGAATACTATACCCAGCATCCCTCTTTCAAACATGTTGGATGATAAAAACTTTCTGAAACAACAAAAGCTGAGTTTACCACTACTCGACCTGCCTTACAGGAAATGCTAAAGGGAGTTAGTCAAGCTAAAGAAAGAGAATTCTAATTAGTAACATGAAAATATATGAAAGTATAAAATCACTGATAAAAATAAGTATACTGTCAAATCCAAGATACTCTTATATTGTAATGGCAGTGGGTAAATCAGTTATGTCTCTAGTATAAAGGTTAAAAGGCAAAACTATCAAAATACAACTAAAACTACAATGACTCGTTATGGATAAAAATTATTTTAAAATGTAAACTGTAACATCAAAAACACAAAGGACTGTCTACTTAACAACTCAGCCCTGGGAGTTGATGGATTTTTGCCTTCCTGAGTGGCCTTAAACCTCAGAAAACAAACAGGTGGACCTACAATAGGTCCACTTCCAGCAGCTATCTTCCCAAAAACAGAGAGTGCAACAAAAACAGGAATACAGGAATTTGCCACAGATACTCACTGCAGCTTAATGTGGGAGGAGGAATAGTAAAAGCAAAAAGTTTGTGTTTGCAATCAAGGCTAAGTTGTTATTACATTAAAATAGCCTATTGTAAGTATAAGATGTTTTTTGTAAGCATCAGGGTAACCATAAAGAAAAATCCTATAATAGAAATACAGAAGACAAAAAGAGAAGATACAAAACATACCACTACAGAAAGCCATCAAACACAAAATAAAGTACTAGAGGAAGAAAGAAGCACAGGGTGTACAAAACAATCAGAAAACAACTAACAAAATGGTACAAATAAGTTCTTACATATCCATAACTACTTTGAATGTAAATATATTAATTCTCCAATCAAAAGGCATAGAGTGGCTAAATGGATATTTTTAAGACCATAACAAGACCCAATATGTGCTGCCTACAAGAGACTCACTTCACATTAAATGACACTCAGACCAAAAGTGAAGAGATAGAAAAAATAACTCCATGCAGATGTAAACAAATAGAGACAGGGGTAGCTATACTCTTTTAAGGCAAAGTAGATTTTAGGTCAAAAATTGTCAAAAGAAACAAGATCATTATATAGTCAATAAAGAGGCCAATTCATCAAGATGATATGACAACTGTAAATATGTATATGCACCCAATATCAGAGCATCTACATATGTAAAGCAAACATTAAGAGGTCTGAAGGGAGACAACACTGCAACACAATAATAGTAGAAGATGCAATATCCCACTTTCAACATTGGGCAGATCACACAGAAAATTGATTTTTTTAAATGATTGGACTTGAACTACACTTTAGACCAAATAGACCTAACAGACATGTACAGAACATTTCTCTCTACAGCAACAGAATATATATGTATTACATTTATATTCTGTATATCCATTATATCTATATATACATTATAATGTATATATAAATGTATAAATGTACATTTGTTGCTGTTGAGTGGAATATACATTGTTTTCAAGTGCATACAAAATATTCTCCAACATAGATACTATGCTAGACCACAAAACAAGTCTTAACAAATTTTAAAATATCAAAATCTTATCAAGCATCTTTTCTAATCACAGAAGTGTGAAACTAGAAATAAATAACAGGAGAAAATCATAGAAAATAAAAAAGTTGTAGAAATTAAACAATATAATCCTGAACAACTATTGAGTCAAAGAAGAAATTTTTTTAAAAAAAATTAAAATATCAAGACAAAAAATGGAAACACGAGTTATGAAAACCTTGGAGATAAATAAAGCACTTAGAGGAGGGAAGTTTATAGCAATAAATGCCTACATCAACAAAGAAGAAAGATCTCAAATAAACAACCTAACATTACAGTTCAAGAAATTAGAAGAACCAACTAAGCCCAAAGTTAGCACAAGAAAGGAAATAACAAGGACCACAGCAGAAATAAATGAAATAGAGACTAGAAAAACAATAGAAAAGATAAACTAACGTAAGCGTTGGATTTTTGGAAAACTAAACAAAACTAACGAAATCTTAGTTAGACCAAGAACAAAGAGCGAAGAATCAAATTAAGAGAGTCAGAAATGAAAGAGGAAACATTACAAATGGTAACACAAAAATACAAATGATCACAAAAGACTGCTAAGAATAACTATACACCAACAAATTGCACAACCTAGAGAAATGAATAAATTTCTAAAATATATAACTTACCAACACTAAATTATAAAGAAATTTGAAATCTAAACCGATCAAGAACAAGTAAGGAAATTGAATTAGTAACTAAGTCTCTCATACAACAGGCTCAATTCCAGCAGCTATCTGGAAAAGATAAAGTGAAATTATGTGTTTGCTGACAACATGATCTTGTACACAGAAAATCCTGAAGACCCCACCAAAAAATTGTTGAAACTGATGAACAAATTGAATAAAGTTGCAGGGTGCAGTTACAGACTGCAAAATCAAAAATCAGTAGCATTACTATACACTAACAATGAACTGTCTGAAAATAAATTCAGAAAATTTCTCTCATAATAGTATCAAAAAATAAAATGTTTGAGTAAATTTAACCAAGGCATCAAAATATCTGTATACTGAAAACTGTAAAACATTGACAAAAGAAACTAAAGATTACACAAATAAATGTAAAGATATTTCATGTTGATGGACTGAAGAATTAATTCTGTTAAAATAACCATGCTACACAACGTGATCTACCAATTCAATGCAATCCCTATCAAAATTCAAATGTCATTCTTTGCAGAAATAGAAAAAAATTTCTAAAATTTATATGGAACCACAAAAGGACCTAAGAAGCTAAGAAGGTCTTGACCAAATAGAGCAAAGCTTGAAGCAACAGACTACTGGATAAAAATACTTTACAAAGTTATAGAAATCAGAACAGCATGATACTACTATTAAAAACAGACACATCAACCAATGGAGTAGTACGGAGTGTTCAGAAATAAACCCACACATCTACAGCCAATTGATTTTCAACAAGGGTGCCTAGAATACACAATGGGTAAAGAATAGTCTCTTCAATAAATGTTGGTGGGAAAACTGAATATTTTCATACAGAGATTTAAAATAGACCCTTGTCTCACTCCTTATACAATTATCAGCTCAGAATGGATTAAACACTTGAACATAAGGTCTGCAATCAGAAAAATTATAGGAGAAAGCTATATGACATTGATCTGGGCAGTGATTTCTTGGATATGACCTCAAAAGCGTGGGCAACAAAAGCAAGAATAGACAAACGGGATTTCATCAAAATAAAATGCTTCTGCACAGTAAACAATTAATAGAGTGAAGAGACAACTCACCAATTGGGAGAAAATATTTGCAAATCATACATTCGATAAGAGGCTAATATCTTAAATATACAAAGAACTCAAACTACAAAATAACAAGAAAACAAACAACCCTATTCAAAAGGGCGAAGGACTTGAATAGATCTTTCTAAAAGAAGACATATAAATGACCAACAGACAAACAAAAAAATTGCTAAACATCTTCAATCATCAGAGAAATGCAAATTAAAACCACAATGAGAGATTGACCATCATTAAAAAGACGAAAGATGACAAGTCTTGGCAAAGATGTGAAGAAAAGGGAACTCTTATACACTGCTGATAGTATTGTAAATTAGTACAGCCATTTTGGAAAACAACATAAAGGGTCTGCAAAAAATTAAAAATAAAATTCCAACATGATCCAACCATCCCACTACTGAGTATATACCCAAAGGAATTGAAATAAGTATGTAGAAGAGTTACCTACTCTCCTATGTTTAATGTAGCATTATTCACAATGGCCCAGCTATGGAAATAACCTAAATGTCCATCAATGGATGAATGGATTTTTTTAAGTGTGGTATACGTACACAATGTGATACTATTCAGCCTTTTAAAAACCCAGGAAATTCTTTCATTTTTGACAATATGGATAAGCCTAGAACACATTATGTTACATGAAATAAGCCAGGTACAAAGAGACAAATACTGTATGATCTCACGTACATGTGGTATCTAAAAATGTTGAACTTACAGAGGTAGAGTGTAGAATGATGGTGGTTACTAGAGATTGGGATTGAGGGAGGAGTGGATGGGAAAGGGGAGACATTGATCAACATCAGTGAGATAAGAGGAATAAGTTCTGATATTCTATTGCACAGCACAGTGACTATAGTTAACAATAACGTATTGTATATTTCAAAACAGCAAAAAGAAAAGATTTTAAATGCTCTCACCACAAAGAAATTATAAATATTTGAGGTGATGGATATGCTAATTAGCCTAATTTTATCATTCCACAGTGTATAAATGTATTGAAACATCCCATTGTAGCCCATAATTATATACAATTCTTATTTGTCAATTAAAAATACAATAAAACTTTAAGAAAAAAATAGTGATTGAAGAGTAATTTAGAGTAAAGATGACATTTACTTGGTTCATGGTCCATTGATCCCATCTCCACCCATCACATCATCCTTTCCTTGTGAGCAAGAATATGACTTCAAAGCCTTCCCCATCCAGTGTTCCAGCTGTCATTATCAATTGACCAGAGCCGAGATACAAGCTGAAACCTATTTGGCTATCTCAGGGTTGGAGTTGCACCCACTCCAAGTGAAATATATTTTTAAGACATTTCACAAACCATGTGTAAAGGGAGGAGGGGTTACCACCAGTGGTAGGGAGGGATAGTGTAAAAGTTACTAAGAGGATTTTTGAAACAGTGAACTTACCCTAGCAGGAAATTGCGAAAGGTTCACTACGGATAGTCAGAGGGAATTCAGGTTTTCAATAATACCTGAAAGTCCAATAAAAACAAAGCCCACAATATCTCAGAACATCTCAGGCCCCCAAGCTCCCTGGCATGTACCCTCGCTAATGTCTTTTGTGTTTTTTTCCTAAAATGTACCATTCTTAAAAAATGAGAGCCAAGCTCCAGGAGATGAAATTCTACATCTCAAATACATCGAGAGTCTCAGTGCCTATAGCCCCAGCAAGCTGCAGTGATCATGAGTAACATTACAAACTTCATGGAAGACTGGTAGCCTCAGGAAGAAGCTGTCAACCCGAATTAAGACGTCAACGTATCAGATGAGGAAGGTACTGCCATGAAGCCTATTGTTGCATGCGTGTCAGGTGAAGGCCATACTAATTACTGCGTGATCCAAATATGTCTGTTCCCTACTCCTCCCAAACTAAGGTCACTGAGTTATTATGGCCTGGTGGTTTGCACTATTTTGGATTCTGCCAAGTGGCAGGTGGCCTGACAAACATGCGACTCAGCATGTTTTGTTGGGTCCCCACAGCTGTGCTGCCAATCAGTTCAGGATGGCTGCAAGTTAATGCTAATTAGCTTCTGTTGATCTGCATATTCCAACAGCCTCCCAGGATTCCCATTTTGATATGCAAGATTGCCGGTTGGGTATGTGATTGAATTAAGAAGCAAGAAAGATTTTAGTTTCCATGCGGGGATATGCGGATCTGAATCCCCAGCAGAAGCTGTTACCCTTTTGATTTATGGTTGGCAGCTCTGGCCATCAGCATGGGAGCATGGGCTCTAGGCTAGAGGGTGCTGCCCCCCTGCTTATGGAAACAACCGACGCCTTAACCTCCTAGCACTATTAGGAGTAAACATTCTTTCCATCTGCTCTGTGAACTGGCACTGGCAGTTTATTTGAGCAAGGAATCTATAGTTTTCCGTTTGATTCAAATCTATTTAGTTCAAATAATCTAAACAAAAATGTAACAGTAAAGAAGAATTATTTCCTGTGGTGTACAAAAAGTACTAATTTCAAACTGTCACTTTCAAACTCACTGGGTATCTTTGAATAAACTGCTTCACCTTCATGGCCCTCAGTTTCTCGAATGCAATGTTAGGAGGTAATGCTAGAGTCTATTAAATGAGAGAAAGTATATGACAAGGATAACAAAATGTCTGACACATATGAGCTCTTGGATATTTTAATATATTTTTATACCATAAAAAAATAAAAAGCTATACAGTGCCTTCTCTGTGCCAGCACTTTGCACATGGTTGGAGATTCAAATATGAACAAAAAATTATTCACTTCCCTCCAGGAGTACATAGTAAACAGATAATTACAATTTGATAAATAAGGTTCATTCCAACAATGATATTCTATAATTCTATTCCTTCTTTCTTTCTGCTATGACAACATGGGAACACCACGAGCTTCTGGCTTCATAATAGCTTTGTTTTCTTGAGTATGTTGCTTAACTTATCTGAGCCCGTGTTTCTCCTTCTGTAAAAACAATATACCCCACATAACATTGTTGAGTAAGTTTAATGAAATAATGCTTGTTAAAGCTACTGACACATAGTAGACATTCAGTAAACAGTATTTCCCTGATGTTTTCTTTTTTAGTGGATATTATTAGAATCACATGAGTCCAGCAAATTCTGGGGTGAAGGACAGAGGTAGAAGAAAAAGAGGTGGAAGGATTTCAGCCTTGCTAAGAAAGGAACTCAGCAGGAAACACTGCACTATGGGGGCTAATGTATTTAGATTTTGCACCTGTATTTCATCAGGGCAATGAAAATATGATCTCACTGGGTAAACATTACAAAACAATTTTCAAAAGTTTTACTTGGCTACAGCCTTAGAAAGTTCCGCTTCCCTGAAGTGATTAAATAATATTTCTTGGAAAACATTTGCTAAATATAATTTTAAGGAGAAGTTTTTTTCTCATTTTCATATTGTTGAATTTGAGGGTCCCAATTGGGATTTTGTAGGAAAAGTTACTAAAACTGTTGCTATATTTATATTTTATATTTATTACATATTGTATATTTTCATATTTGTGTGTATGTATAAATATGTATGTCTCCATTTTCTATGTATATGCATATAACACATATGAGCATATGTGTCTATATATAGTGTATGCATTTAAATCTGCATCTATGTGTATAGAAATTTATGTTCATTATGATTTGAGAATGGAGTGTATGCATATACATATGCATGTGTTTTATAATATGACACCCATATTTATCATTTATTGTAGTGGTTAAGAGCATAGATGTATAGACTCTGAAATAGACCTGAATTTGAATTTCAGCTCTATCAGTTACTGCTATGTGAGTATAGCCAAGTTATTTAATCTCTGCATCTCAGTGAATTTCTCTGTAAAATGGAGATAATAATTGTACCTACCACAAAGATTGTTGTGAGGATTAAATAGATTAACATATATGAAAATGTTTAAACAAACCTTGGCCAATAAGAAACTCTATTTTATATTATTTTAATAATTGCTATTGTTATTATGACTATTTGTGTTATTGTTATTTTTTCATGCATTTATTTGTTCTGAATCACTTTGACTTTAAGGGTTTTTTGCTTAAAACCTCAATGAAAGGCAATTTTTAAAAAGTAATATCAGAGCTTGTAGAGTTTCTGTTTTGCAAGTGGTAGATATTTTGATTAAATTTTGAAGCACATTATATCTTTGTTTTGAAAAGAATCATCTGGATATATGTATTCAGCTATGCAAATGTTAATGTAACTACTCTCCATCCCACCCCACCTCATCGCCATCCACCTTGTTGGATAACCTGAATGCATATGTTTTAGACTAAATGAAGAAATGTGCTATTTGGCAATGCAAATTAGATGTATGCTTTAGCAAAGCTATTTCCTTGCATACTTTGCTGCTACTTTGAGAGAAATATTTCTTTATTAAGGAATTTAGGCTGCAGATTATTGCTTGTTTTGACCAAGATGCATGATCAAAAGAGATTAGTAACAGAGACTTCATGACTGCAGGAAAAGAAATGCAGCCCCACCGTTTAACTCAAGTTGGGGGACAAATTGGACAAAAGGGTTGAGTGAGCTTGGCACAAGTCAAATGGGACTGGATTTGATGCTTCGCTCCTTCCTTTCCTAGTGATGTGACCTTGGTCAAGTAGTGAATTCAGAGATAAATGCCTGAGTCTTTCAAACAGTATTGATGTTGGACTGTTACCCTGTTGCATCATGGTCTTGTGGTGGCCACAGGGCCACACAGTACCTCTGCTGATGAAAGGTGGAGTTTTCTATAAAGAATGCGGACATTTACACAATCATCCTGGGAAAAATTTAATACTTGGTTTGAAATGAGAACAGGGTAGAAAATTACATATTCTATGGCTCTTGATTTGTTTCTTTAAGAAATCCATTTAACTGTGAAACTAATATTTACTAGATTCTTATTCTGGATTGGACACTAATTGGAGTGGTAGGAACAGGATGTACAAGACATGGCCTCTGTCCTTAAAATGCTGATACTTAAATGAGGGATATAAACGTGTAAACAAATAAAAACAATCAGTTTGATGGATGCTATGGCAGAGTGCAAGAAAGAGGATGAACACAGAGAAGGAAGAAATCATAAATTCTTTCCAGGAATAAGGGAAATCATCTAAAATAAGATAAAGCTTGAGCTGTCTCTTAAAAAAAAAAGGCAATTATAGCAAATGGAAAGAGGGGGAAGGGTGTTTCAAGTAAGAGGAACATTCATGAGGCAAAGGAATATAGCAAATTTGCCACTAGTTTAGTGTGCCTGGATCTTAAGACATAAAGAGAGGAATAACAAGAGCTAAGACTATGGAAGTAGCTACCCAGACCATGATGGCCTATGTCATGCTAACCTCTTGGATTTCTTTTTCTTAGTGTCAATGTGACACCATCAAAAAGTTCTAAGCAGGTGAAGGACTTATTTATATTTTCATTTTAGATAGTGCATTCTTGTAGACATATGACGCAAAAATGAGAAGAGGGAAATAACACAGGCAGGGAATTATTTAAGAGGGCAATATAGTAATAGGGATATGGAATAATAAAGGTTAGAATTAAGGAAGTGGTAATGGGAATAAATACAATTGAGTATATTTTAGAAATATTTAGGGAATAACCATCCCCTGAACTTGGAAATTGGATTTTAAAAGGACTGGGTCAAGGATAGTCCCAGATTTCTTGTTTGGAGGTTACAAATAAGTAAATATTGGAATACGGGTTGGAGAGCAAGTTGAGGAAGGATAGGATAGATGAGTCTAGTTTTGAAAATGATAAGACTTAAATGCTTTGGAGGCATTCAAATAGATACAATACAAATTAGGATAAATCGATTTGGAGCCAAATGGAGAGGTAGGGGCTAGAGGTATTGACAGGTATTCAGAAAGAATTAGAAATGGTAAGTATAGTTATGAGAGTAGATGAGATAATCCACAAAAAACTTTCAAGTGAAATGAGAATATGGACAAAGGAGGAACCAAAGGTAATGGCAATATGTACAAAGAATGATGTCTGTCATCTACTATTTACCATTTAAGTAGCATTGATCTTTCAAGATACCAAATGAATCCCTCGATTTACTGAAAGACCCTAAATTAGCTGTATGATATATGGTGCTCTTGCAGAAGCTGTTTACTTTCTCTGCCAATGTAGACCTATCTGAATCTAGAGGAAATAGCAATCTTGAGCCAGTAGAGAAAAAATAAATTAATCCTAATTTTCAATAGAAGAATTAAAAATTTGGCAACTATTGCTTTGAATGGTATTCTAGTCTGTTCTCTAAAAGACAGTGGGACACTTCACTTTCCTTTTAAAGTAAAGTAACAACCCAAAACCAGGATTCTATTATATTTAAAAAATTGTCCAGACTACAATAAAATGAGACATTAAAAGGCCCTATTTATACAGTAGTAATGAGTAATACAATCATCTCTTCGTTGTTGGTGGTTGGGGCATTTTTTAAGGCCATGAATAAAGGGTCTCCAAGTGATGTGGGCACTGTGGTTTTTCTCAGACAGTTCAATAAATATAAGATAGGACCCAGGGATAATTTAACGAGTAAGCTTAGTAGAGAATTTTGAGTGAGGAAAAACCTTAGGATGTTTCTTATGGATCAAAGACAAGTTTTAATGAATTGGGTGGAGCTGATAGAGCTCTGAAGTTTATTCTCCTTTGTACAAAGGAAATGATCTCACAGTAATAATACAAATGGTATTCATGAAATATTTTTCTTTTTACAAAAGTTAATTATGAATGAACTTCATAGCTCGTTAGATTCAGAAAGCATAATACATTTTAGTAATTGACTTATTCTCTAGGAAGGGACTTTATGAATATTTGGGGAAAGATTTGGTTGAGGATAAATTAGATGTAATGGATTCTTTTTTTAAAAAAGTCATAACAAGCATAATATATTTCTTTACTTTCAAGAATTTGAGGTCTGTTCTCTACTCTGGTGCCAGTTGAATATCAATTTGGTTGCAGTCTTCTGCCTGTCATGCCGAAATCTCATCATTTCCTAAACTTGTCTAAGTCACATGCTGTTCAAACTACCTTGGAAGCCTCCCTCTTTTCTTTCTTGGCAAATTGCTCATCCTTAAAGAACCATCACAATTTTATCTCCAGTGAAGTCTTCTCCAGTTCACACTACTGTTCCAACAACACTTTGACATCATATCCCTATATGAATGTTATCAATTTTCATTACAGTTAGCAGCCTACACATATATTTCCACAGCTGGACAGTGCCTAGCTCCATGCCTGGCACACAGCACACATTCAGGAACATTTTTTGTTATGACTACCGATTATTACCTATTCAATCCTCAATCATTATCTCTCTTATCTAAAGATATGTACATATTTATATCTAGCTATACGTCTATCTGTAATTTACACAGCGAGCTTACATATGTGATCTCCTTTTGAACTTCAAGATTACCACACAGGATTGTAAGAGTAGCTGTATTTAGTGCCATTTTTCAAATAGGGAAGGTGAGAAGCCTGAGACTCAGAAAGTCTTGCCCCATATCCATGAGAAATGAATGGAAGACAGGAAATCAACTCTCCTTTTTTGACTTTAAATCTAGTGGACTATATTAAATTAAGTGGAATTTTTAGACCATCCATGCATTCATAAATTTATTCCTTGGAGCTATTCTTTTACTTAAATAGAGCTCAGGTGTATGAAATTGGATTAATATTATTCTTAGGTTTATCACAGTCATCGATAGTTTATGCATATCCCTAATTTTATGTGTGTATGCATGGATTCATATTTGAATGATATGACTAATACACATGAATCCATCATTCAACCTTATACCTAACATATTGTCATTAGCTATCTATATCTCTATACTACTCTTTTCCCATCTCACCAACCCTTGGTTTACTGCCCAACCCTAAAGTATCCGTATTTTGAATTGCATGTTTACCATTTCTTTGTTTGTTTGTTTGTTTTTACAGTTAGTTTAGTTTTGGTTCATTTTTGCCTGTTTTGAATGTTGTATTAAAATTATATTCCATAGAGTCTTCTGGAACTAGATTTTCTTAATTCAACTTTATATTACTGATATGTATCCATACTGTTTTGATATAGTTGCAGTTTCTTGATTTTCACTCCTGAGTAATATTCCATTATATGAATATACCAGTATTTATTTAATCATTGTTTTATTTATACAAATTTGAGTCATTTCAGTTTTTTCTGTTTGTTTTTGCTGCTATGAATAATGCTGCCATGAATGATTTAACATTTTGAGGGAGCGTAATTGCCAGGTTGTAAATTATATGAATGTATAACTTTACAGGAGAATGCCAAGTTGCTTTTACAAAGTGGTTATAACAATTTATAAACCCACCAACAAAGTATGAGAGATCCTGATGATCCACATTCTCTGCAATAATTATTATTGCCAGAATTGTAATATTTTATCAAGCATGTAGATGTAAAATGGTATCTCATTTTAGTGTTGATTTGCATTTCTTCAATTGTTAATAAGATTGAGAATATCTTCAGATATCGTCCTTATGTATTTTTAAAAATTATTTGTAGAACTTCTTTTTATTTTTGATACAAACTCTCTGTCAGTCATATATATTGTCAGTATCTTTTCCTGGTTGGAATCTTGTCTTTTGAGTCTCCTGGTAGATGCTGTTTTCAAATGAATGTTAACTGTTACCAATTCACAACTACATCCTTCTCAAAAGAACTGTGCCTGGCAAATGGACATGCCTCACCCAAAAGTTTTTGTGTCCTACCCTGGGTTCAGCCTGCAACCAATAATTGATGAATACACAGATACAAGAGGCTGACTCCTTTCCCTCCAGGAAATACTTCCTCTGTGGTATAATTCATGTGCCCACAGTTTTCCATGGGATTTGGCTGACACTAGTCTCCAGCTGAAACCACATCCTTAGTCAACTCCTTCCCCTCCCTGTTTTGCTTCTTTCATTTCCCTATAGGTTCTTCCTGAGGGCATTTCCTCAATAAATCACTTGCACAAAAATCTCCATCTCAGGTTCTGCTTCTAGGAAATCCAACTTCAGATACTTTCTTTGAGGTGTCTTTTGATGAACAGTTCTGATTATAATGAAATGTATCAAATTTTTTATTTTATGGATTTTCTTTTTTAAGAATCTCTATTTACAAATCCTTCCTTACTCCAAGATCAGAAAGCTATCATTATCTGTTATTTCCTGTAAAAAATTGAAAGGTTTGCTTTGACATTTGAGTCTTTATTTATTTTGGAGTTGATTGTTTTGTAAAGTATGAGGTAGAAATTCAATGTCTCTATATGTCAGTAACTATTTTGTCCAGGTTAATTTATTGAAAATTTCTTCTTTTCCCTATCATGTATCTTTTTAGAACACTGATAGTTTAGTCAACATTTATTCCACACTTTTTAAATGCTTTTTATTTTTATTTTTTTATTATTATTATACTTTAAGTTTTAGGGTACATGTGCACAACGTGCAGGTTTGTTACATATGTATACATGTGCCATGTTGGTGTGCTGCACCCATTAACTCGTCATTCAGCATTAGGTATATCTCGCCCCTCCCCCCACCCCACAACAGTCCCCCGTGTGTGATGTTCCCCTTCCTGTGTCCCAGTGTTCTCATTGTTCAATTCCCACCTATGAGTGAGAACATGCAGTGTTTGGTTTTTTGTCCTTGCGATAGTTTGCTGAGAATGATGGTTTCCAGCTTCATCCATGTCCCTACAAAGGACATGAACTCATCATTTTTTATGGCTGCATAGTATTCCATGGTGTATATGTGCCACATTTTCTTTTTTTTTATTTTTTTAATTTTTTATTTTTTATTTTTTTATTATTATACTTTAAGTTTTAGGGTACATGTGCACATTGTGCAGGTTAGTTACATACGTATACATGTGCCATGCTGGTGTGCTGCACCCACTAACTTGTCATCTAGCATTAGGTGTATCTCCCAATGCTATCCCTCCCCCCTCCCCCCACCCCACAACAGTCCCCAGAGTGTGATGTTCCCCTTCCTGTGTCCATGTGATCTCATTGTTCAATTCCCACCTATGAGTGAGAATATGTGGTGTTTGGTTTTTTGTTCTTGTGATAGTTTACTAAGAATGATGATTTCCAATTTCATCCATGTCCCTACAAAGGACACGAACTCATCATAAACTGCTCTTAAGATCAGTGCTTGAGTTCTGTAGATGTCTGTTAGGTCTGCTTGGTGCAGAGCTGAGTTCAATTCCTGGATATCCTTGTTAACTTTCTGTCTCATTGATCTGTCTAATGTTGACAGTGGGGTGTTTAAGTCACCCATTATTGTTATGTGGGACCTAATAGACATCTACAGAACTCTCCACCCCAAATCAACAGAATACACATTCTCCTCAGCACCACATCGCACTTATTCCAAAATTGACCACATAGTTGGAAGTAAAGCACTCCTCAGCAAATGTAAAAGAACAGAAATTATAACAAACTGTCTCTCAGACCACAGTGCAATCAAACTAGAACTCAGGATTAAGAAACTCACTCAAAACTGCTCAAATACATGGAAACTGAACAACCTGCTGCTGAATGACTACTGGGTACATAACGAAATGAAGGCAGAAATAAAGATGTTCTTTGAAACCAAGAGAACAAAGACACAACATACCAGAATCTCTGGGACACATTCAAAGCAGTGTGTAGCGGGAAATTTATAGCACTACATGCCCACAAGAGAAAGCAGGAAAGATCTAAAATTGACACCCTAACATCACAATTAAAAGAACTAGAGAAGCAAGAGCAAACACATTCAAAAGCTAGCAGAAGGCAAGAAATAACTAAGATCAGAGCAGAACTGAAGGAAATAGAGACACAAAAAACCCTTCAAAAAAATCAATGAATCCAGGAGCTGGTTCTTTGAAAAGATCAACAAAATTGATAGACAGCTAGCAAGGCTAATAAAGAAGAAAAGAGAGAAGAATCAAATAGACGCAATAAAAAATGACAAAGGGGATATCACCAGCAATCCCACAGAAATACAAACTACCATCAGAGAATACTATAAACACCTCTACGCAAATAAACTAGAAAATCCAGAAGTAGTGGATAAATTCCTCAACACATACACTCTCCCAAGACTAAACCAGGAAGAAGTTGAATCTCTGAATAGACCAATAACAGGCTCTGAAATTGAGGCAATAATTAATAGCTTACCAACCAAAAAAAGTCCAGGACCAGATGGATTCATAGCCGAATTCTGCCAGAGGTACAAGGAGGAGCTGGTACCATTCCTTCTGAAACTATTCCAATCAATAGAAAAAGAGGGAATCCTCCCTAACTCATTTCATGAGGCCAGCATCATCCTGATACCAAAGCCTGGCAGAGACACAACAAAAAAAGAGAATTTTAGACCAATATCCTTGATGAACATTGATGCAAAAATCCTCAATAAAATACTGGCAAACCAAATCCAGCAACACATCAAAAAGCTTATCCACCATGATCAAGTGGGCTTCATCCCAGGGATGCAAGGCTGGTTCAACATACAAAAATCGGCAAACGTAATCCAGCATATAAATAGAACAAAAGACAAAAACCACATGATTATCACAATATGTGTAGAAAAGCCCTTTGACAAAATTCAACAACGCTTCATGCTGAAAACTCTCAATAAATTAGGTATCGTTGGGACATATCTCAAAATAATAAGAGCTATCTATGACAAACCCACAGCCAATATCATACTGAATGGACAAAAACTGGAAGTATTCCCTTTGAAAACTGGCACAAGACAGGGATGCCCTCTCTCACCACTCCTATTCAACATAGTGTTGGAAGTTCTGGCCAGGGCAATCAGGCAGGAGAAGGAAATAAAGGGCATTCAATTAGGAAAAGAGGAAGTCAAATTGTCCCTGTTTGCAGATGACATCATTGTATATCTAGAAAACCCCATTGTGTCAGCCCAAAATCTCCTTAAGCTGATAAGCAACTTCAGCAAATCTCAGGATACAAAATCAATGTGCAAAAATCACAAGCATTCTTATACACCAATAACAGATGAACAGAGAGCCAAATCATGAGTGAACTCCCATTCACAATTGCTTCAAAGAGAATAAAATACCTAGGAATCAAACTTACAAGGGACATGAAGGACCTCTTCAAGGAGAACTACAAACCACTGCTCAATGAAGTAAAAGAGGATACAAACAAATGGAAGAACATTCCATGCTCATGGGTAGGAAGAATCAATACCGTGAAAATGGCCATACTGCCCAAGGTGATTTATAGATTCAATGCCATCCCCATCAAGCCACCAATGACTTTCTTCACAGAATTGGAAAAAACTACTTTAAAGTTCATATGGAACCAAAAAAGAGCCCGCATCGCCAAGTCAATCCTAAGCCAAAAGAACAAAGCTGGAGGCATCACGCTACATGACTTCAAACTATACTACAAGGCTACAGGAACCAAAACATCATGGTACTGGTACCAAAACAGAGATATAGATCGATGGAACAGAACAGAGCCCTCAGAAATAATGTCGCATATCTACCACTATCTGATCTTTGACAAACCTGACAAAAACAAGGAATGGGGAAAGGATTCCCTATTTAATAAATGATGCTGGGGAAACTGGTTAGCCATATGTAGAAAACTGAAACTGGATCCCTTCCTTACACTTTATACAAAAATTAATTTAAGATGGATTAGAGATTTACAGGTTAGGCCTAAAACCATAAAAACCCTAGAAGAAATCCTAGGCAATACCATTCAGGACATAGGCATGGGCAAGGACTTCATGTCTAAAACACCAAAAGCAATGGCAACAAAAGCCAAAATTGACAAATGGGATCTACTTAAACTAAAGAGCTTCTGCACAGCAAAAGAAACCACCAACAGAGTGAACAGGCTACATACATAATGGGAGAAAATTTTTGCAACCTACTTATCTGACAAAGGGCTAATATCCAGAATCTACAATGAACTCAAATAAATGCTTTTTATACATGAAAGGCCTTGCATGGAGCTGGGGATATAAACATAAAATGATACAACTCCCCCTGCTGTCAGGGGCTCACACTATAGTGGGAAAGTATATATATAGTGGGAAAGTATAGTGGGAAAGTGTGTGCCATCTATCAGCAGGAGGAGTCAGGAAAAACTTCTTAGAGGTAGCGGAATGAAAAAACAGAAATTTTATATTTTAGAGAGGTGGATATTTCTTGGTGTTTCCAATTTGAAGAAAGCGCTGATTGTAAACCAGCGTATATTATTTCAGAATATTGCCTATAGTTCTATGTGACACAAAATGTGTGTACAGAAAAAAAAAGGTGTGTACCAGAAAAAATTTTAGAAATAGGCAGGAGTCGACTTATAAAGGGCTTTTTTTCTTAGTGGAACTTTGATTGTAACTCCCAGCACAACCATCTTCTCTCAACAGGTGGCCTCCACTCTTGCCACTGCCTTGGAGAGAGTAATGTAACCCATAGAGAGCCGAAATAGCCTAGTGTTTTGGACATGGACATTGGTCTATGCTTTGGTTTAAATATCCCCTCCAAAATTCACGTTGAAACTTAATACCCAATACTACAGTATTGGAGGGAAGGCTTTAAGACATGATTAAATGATGAGGGCTCTGTCTTCATGAATGAATTAATCATTCATGGGTGAATGGATTAATGGGTTAATAGATGAATGGGTTATCATGGAAAGGAAACTGGTAGCTTCATAAAAATAAAAGAGACCTGAGCTAGCACATTAGCATTCTTAGCCCCATCTCCATGTGATGCCCTGTGCTGCATCAGGATGCCACAGAGTTCCCACGAGCAAGAAGGCTCTCGACAGATGCATACCCTCAAACTTGGACTTCCCAGCCTCCATAACTGTAGGAAATAAATTTCTTTTCTTTATAAACTGCCCAGTTTCAGGTCCTTTAAAACAGAAAACAGACTAATAGAGTTTAAAAGTGGGCATGTGCTGCAAACAGGTCCGATCGGAGTCCTCCTGTAGGATTAGCATATGGAAGTTACATACCCCTGCAGGGTCTATATTTGCTTGATCATGCCAAGCACTAGGCCTACTCATATCACCTCCCTTCCCTTCCACTCTCCTTTAACAATACACATGACTCAGGTACCTGTGTTAAATGGTGTAATAACACTTTTTAGGATTCTTGAAGAAATGACATTGATATATATTTTTATTCTTGATAAAAATACAAAAAGAATACCCTTTAAAATTTTGGGTTTTTTTGCTATAAATTATTATTAGAGATTATTATAAAATTTTCAGAGAAGATTAAAAAGCATTAAGAAAATTAAAATAATTCACAGCCCCAACAATTAAAGAAAAATACAGTTAAATATTTACCGTCTTATCTTTTAGGTTCACAAATATGCAGATGTACTGGTTTAAAAAATACAATTGAATTCATTCTATTTTATAGCCAAATGTTATACCATTATTAATTTTTTATACAACACAAATTTGAATATTCAATTACCACATTTCATAGTATGGTTATACTACTTAGCCATTAGTCTGTTTTTGAGGATTTTGGTTGCTTTCAATTTTCATAATTTTAAAGAATGCTGCCATAAGCATTCAATATGTAGATCTTCTGCATTTTAGATTTTGGATTGGATAAATTCCTAATGGAATTGCTGGGACAGAGGTTATATACATTTTAGGACTCTTTCCACACGAGAACTTTGCAAATTAGACTATATGTTTTATTTCAGTGGAATATGACAAGTCTGTAGTAACAGATGATCCCAAGTCCCAGAATTTTGCAGTACTTAAAAATGCAGGGCAATCAGATTCAGCCGTACTTCAGCATTTGGGGCATAATGTGATGGGCTGATTTCTGTGCTCACACTACAGTGTTTCAGACTGATACACATTCTCCAAAGCTTCTTTTTCATAGAAACAAAATATTCTAAGATGTGCAGAGCTCAAGATTTGAAGTCTTAGTTTAAATTTTCCATGTTTCTTTGAGGGTGGGGTGGAGGGTGATGTATTTTTCCTTCCTGAAGATAGTTCTACAAATGGATTCTATAGATTGAAGGCCTATTTTTGAGAATTAACTATACCAAGAATTTTACATTTATAATCTCATTTAACCCCTTCCAATACCATTTGAGAATTTAGGTGGTATGTTAGGAAACAATACAGGTTTTGAAACCAGACCAGTTTAACTTGGCGAATCCAGGTTTTATCAATTGCTTGCTGTGTTACTTTAATTGCCTTCTGAAAAGTATTAATTTCTCTAAGGTTTATCTACAAAATCATGCAGGTATGAATAAATACCTTACCACGTATATGTTTCAATTAAATGAGAAAATGCGGGTTAAGCAATCAGCATAGTGTATCTCTGTATTAGTCTGGGATCCTCTGAGATCAGAATCTGAGGCATGTATATGGTTTATTCTGGAAGTGATTGCCAGGAACAGGACTGAAGGTTTAGGGAGGAGAACAGGAAATAAGGGAAAACTGATACAAGGATGTTTTTAAGTTGGGCACTGGTGCAGATGATTGGCTCTGAACCTTCCTTCTGTGGAGTGCTGTGAAATGCATCTTAGAACTCTTTGCCTAAGGAAAAAAAGGAGAAAAATATTTATTCTTCAGCAACCATCCCCCATAGGTTAAGAATAATCCCAGGGCATTACCTCCCCTGCATTTCCAGGTTGTGTGTATCTGTCGAGTTATGCAAAGAAGCCTGCTGCAAGACAGATGAGGGGCAAGGCACAGCTGGTTGCATTTGCACAAAACTAGTCAGAACGGGTCACTACCATAGCAGCTGGGGCAAAAGGTGGAGTCTATGAGGATTTTCAGGGACACACAAGGGGTGTCTGTATTTCCTATTGCTGTTATAACAAATTATCACGAACTTAGTGGCTTAATGCAACATAAATTTATTATTTCACAGTGCTGGAGGTTGGAAGTTCAAAAAGTGTCTCTTACGTGGCTAAAACCATGATGTTGGCAGGACTGCATTCCTTTTTATGGCTCTAGAGGAAAATCTGTTTCTTGCTTTTGCCAGCTTCTAGAGGCTGTCTTTATTCCTTGGCTCAGGCTCCCTTCCAACAGTGGTGTCACTCTGGCCTCACCTCTGTCATCATACCTCTTTCTCTAATCCTGACACTCACTTTTATGTGAACTATTGTGATTATGTTAAACCCAGCTGATAATTCATGATAATCTTCCCAATTCAAGACCCTTAATCACATCTACTAAATCTATTTTGGCATGTTAGGTGACATATTCACAGGTTTCATGGATCAGCACAGGGACATCTTTGGGAGTCATTGTTCCGCCTACCACAGGGTCAGTGTAGGCTTCTAGCACACATTTGTTAAGGTTCCCTTCTCCTACTGCTTGCTGAGTTTCCATCCTCCTCAACCCCAACTGTATTAATTAAGGTTCTCCACCAAAACAGAATCAATAGGATGTATCAATACATAATGAGATTTAATATAGGGTATTGGCTCATGCAATTGCGGAGTCTGAGAAATTACACAGTCTGCTGTCTGCAAGGTGGAGACCCAGAAATGTAGTAGAAGGGAACTACAAATGTGTAGTTCAAAGGCCTGAGAGCCAGAGACCCAGTGGCATAGATTCCAGTTTGAGACTAAGGCCTGAGAACAGAAACAATGAGAGTAGGAAAAGATCAATGTTCCAGCTCAAGCAGTCAGGCAGAGAGCCAGCAAGTTCTCTCTTCCTCCACTTTTTTGTTCTATTGAGTCCACCTACATTAAGAAGGACTATTCATTTGACACAACCTATTGATTTGCATGTTAATCTCCTCTGGAAACACTCTCATAGATACACCCCAAAATAATGTTTTAATCAGGTATCTGGACATCTTTTTAGTCAAATTTACACATATAATTCACTATCATGCAACCTGTATTAGTTCATTTTCATGCTGCTGATGAAGACACACTCGAAACTGGCAACAAAAAGAGGTTTAATTGGACTTACAGCTAGCTCCACATGGCTGTGGAGGCCTCAGAATCATGGTGGGAGGCGAAAGGTACTTCTTACATGGATGGCAAGAGAAAAATGAGGAAGAAGCAAAAGTGGAAACCCCTGATAAACCTATCAGATCTCGTGAGCCTTATTCACTATCACGAAAATAGCCTGGGGAAGACAGCCCCTATGATTCAGTTACCTCCCCCTAGGTCCCTCCCACAACACATGGGAATTCTGGGAGATACAATTCAAGTTGAGATTTGGATGGGGACACAGCCAAACCATATCACCACCTGACATAAATTCTGATAATTCACATAGCTAGTAATTGGACAGGCAAAGCCACAAATCCATATGATGTGGTTGCAAATCCATTGATTTGGGGGATTTTAGAGTCAAAATCTCATTGGTGGGCGTGGTAAAGGACAGGGTTGGTAGTACTTTTGCTAGCACAAGGGCATGTGTGATTCAGGGCTACAAGAATGAGCCAATGTGAGAGAGAAGAAATTTGACCCAAAGGCTGCACTAGAAGCCCCTCCAATTTTAGATTCCATTTCCAGTGTGATGATACTAAATTGTTTTCAATCCACAAGGAAAGAAAATTTACTGTTTTTAAGTTGTCCATAATAGATAACTTTGACTAAAAGATAAAGTTGCTAAATCTAAGACAGATCATTGTTCATCTAAAATATTAAATAAATACTGAATAAGAAATATTTTAGCATGATTTTTAACAGGACAAAACTTTGCTCAGGTTTTTGGTGAAAATCAACACTTTAATGAAATATATGGGATGAAACTAAAATACAGGTGCTCCAATCTGAATATTTATAACAAATGATTTATAACAAATGAGTAAGTGTAAAAAGTAAATAAAATAAACATCCACACAACCACCATTTAGCTTTAAAAAAAATTACATTACCAATACCTTAAGAATGCCCTTGCTTTTCTGATCCCATTCCCTACCCTATTTCCTAACTGTGATCACTACCCTGAGTCTGGTATTTATTATTCCCTTTCTTTCCTTGATAGTTTTTTTAAATAATCTACATATTTCTAAATAATATATTTTTAGTATTGTGTATAGGTGGGATGATATTGTACGAGTTGTGCTATTCAATCATGCTGACTTATATAACTCTATCTGATTCATTTGTTCATTTGTACTGCTGTGTATTAATTCACTCTTGCCAATGGATATTTGAGTTATTCCCTCTTTGGTGATATTTATTGTCTTTTTTTGTTTTTGATTCTCTCTTAAATATTACAAATTATGAACACGTTTGTACTTGACTCTTCATGCACATGTATAAATTTATTTTTTAAGTTTGAATCCAGGAAAGGAATTATTTAATTGTAAGGCAGGCACATGGACAATTTAAAAGAAAATTCTATTGATTATAAAACGTAAATAGTCACCAACAGACATGTGAGTTGTTTTATTCTACATTCTTAGCAAAACTTGATATCAGCAGGCTTTTAAATTATTGTCATTCTAGCAAATGCAAAATAGTATATTTTATGAAATGTTAAATAGATACAAATTTATGTTATGAAAGCACTTCTGTGTCTTGGTTATAAAATTTTCTTCCACCCAAAGGTCATATAGATATTCTCCTATATTGTCTTCTAAAATTAAAATAAAATCTAAAATGACTCACTTTCAAATTTAAGACTTTAACTGGAATAGATTTTTATACACAGAGAGAAATCTAATTTAATTTTTTATATAAATAACTATTTTTCTAGTATCATTAAGTTGTCTTTCCTTTACACAATTATTTGTACTGTAAGTTTTATTATATATCATTTCCATATATTTGTGGGTCTGTTTTTGCTAATTCTCTTCTGATTTAATTGATTTATTTTTCTATCTTTAAGTCAAAATTGCATTTCTAACTAAAGTGCTTTATGCAAAGATCTTGACATCCAATAGGACATGTTTTCTGCTTTCTCCTCCCATTCCTTCAGGGGTGTTTTGGCTGTTGTTAGCTCTTCCTCCTTCACAAAAATTTTAGAATCAATTTAGAATTTTAGAATTAATTTGTCAAGTTGTACAAAAGTCTTGGTAAGTTTTTGACTTAAGTTTTAAGAGAGAACTTGGTAGCTTTAAACTACTGGACTCTTTCTGTTTATGAACGTGGTATACCTTACCTTCCCATTGGTTTAAATCTCTTTTAATGTTATTAAGTTTTATAATTTTTCTTTATGTCATAAAAATCTTTCTTTTATTTCTTCTTATAAGTATACATGTGAATGGAGAGGTGAATACATTGTATTTTTGCTGTTATTGTAAATAATATCATTTTTGCATTAAATTTTCTAATTCTCATTGATTAGGCATGGGAATGCAAATTGAATTTTATATAGAGCTATTGTTTTGATCAACATTGCAAAGTTTCCTGTTCAAGTCTAGTAGTTTATCAGTACATGCTTTACATTTTATATGGAAACAATGTATATGTGAATAATAACAGCAACATTATGCTGTCCTTTTCTAACTTTTCTATCTTCTATAAAAGTATTTCTAACTTTTATATCTTCTTCTTGCTTTGGACTTCCAGAAAATTATTGAAAATAAGTAGTTATGGTGAGCATTTTTGTCTTTTGTCTTAGTCCATTCAGGCTACTATAACAAAAAACTATATACTGGGTAGCATGTAAACAACAGAAATTTATTTCTCCCAGTTCTGGAGGCTGGAGAGTCCAAGATCAAGGTGCCAGCAGAGTCAATGTCTCATGAAGACCAATTTTCTGGGTCATAGAAGATGCCTTCTAACTGTGTCTTCAGATGGTGAAAGGGGAAAGGCAGGTCTCTGGGGCCTCTTTTATAATGGCACTAGTCTTTTCCATGAGGATTCTACCCTCATGACCTAATCACCTCTCAAAAGAACCCACCTTCTTACACAATCATACAGGTGACTATGTTTTCAACATAGAATTTTGGGAAGACACAAACATTCAGGACATGGCATCTTCTATGTATTTCAACATGTACTTATTAAATATCACTTCTGATTCTAGTTTACCGTAAATTTTATCAAGCATGGATATTGAATGTCAGTGAATGCTTCTTTTATACCCGTTGAGAAGGTCATGCATTTTTCTTTTGTAATCATATGCTAATAAAATTAATTTATACTAATTGGTTTTTTAATATTAAACCTACCTTGCAGTCCTGGAGAATCTAAACATTCATAATGTATTATACATTTTTAGATTGTTCATTTATTTTTGCTAATACCATGTTAAAAATTTTAACATGAATAGAAATAATATGTATTTCTTATTACTTCCACTATTTTTAATTTTGATATCAAGTTACTCATTCAAAATTTCTGTGTTGTAAATAAAGAGTAAGTCCACTTACATCAATGGAAATTACTAATTCTACTTTCTACCACCTAATTTTTATTTGTCTTGCTTTTTCCATTTTTTCCCACGTTCTTGTCTCCCTTTAAATTGATTCAGTCTTTTCTCTATTATTAATTCTCTAATCTTCTCCAGTTGGAGAGTATACACTTTTTAGCTGACTTTGTAGTGGCCACTTATAAATATTTTGCCAAATATTTTACAAAGTTTAAAATTATCGAAGGAGGCTGAGGCAGGAGGATTGCTTGAGCCTGGGAAGTTGAGGCTGCACTAATCCATGATTGCACCACTGTGATGCTGTCTTAAAATGAAATAAAACAAAATAAAATAAAAATTTATATATTTGCTCTACTTTTGAACACTGGGAGAAGCTTACAACACTTGAACATCTAATCTCCATCCTTTTCCAAACTATATACTATTTTTGCTGAGGGTTTTAGTTCTATTTCATTTTCATAACTTCTCTAATCATTATTATTTGGTAGTTTTGTGTCGTCATTCTGAAATTTAGGTATATCCTCATATATATTAGTATCTTCATATGTCATGCCATTGCATATTAGACTTTACAATAGGGGTAATTTTCCTTCTTACTGACAATAATGCTAGTTCTGTAATTTAGTAACTTTGTGACCTTGAAGCAAATTACTTAAAGCTTTTGCGCTTCTTCAGTTTTTTCATGAAGTGGAAATAATAATAGTATTTATTTCACATCTACTGAGAAGATTATTTATATGGTTTGGCTCTGTGTACCCACCCAAATCTCATCTTGTAGCTCCCATAATTCCCATGTTGTATTAGTCCACTTTCACACTGCTGATAAAAACATACCCAAGACTGGGCAATTTACAAAAGAAAGAGATTTAATGACTTACTGTCCCACATGGCTGGGGAGGCCTTACAATCATGGCAGAAGGTAAAAGGCACATCTCACATGGTGGCAGACAAGGGAAGAGAGCTTGTACAAAGAAACTCCCCCTTATAAAACCATCAGATCTTATGACACTTATTCACTATCATAAGAACAGCACAGGAAAGTCATGCCCCCATGATTCAATTACCCCCCAACAGATCCCTCCCACAACAGGTGGGAATTTAAGATGATATTTGGGTTGGGACACAGCCAAATCATATCACACGTGGTATGATATACCAGAAAATGTGGAAGAAAATGCTATGTGGAATATTGTCAATCATCCTACTAGAGAGAAAACAAGCACTGGAGGATCTCACTGACAATTAAATGCTTAGCCCAAAGCCAGAGAGACACATTAGTTTCTCTCACAAGACACTGGCCAGAATTGGTCACATGGGAATCCAGGCAGTACAATCTTACTATGGGCCAAGAAGTCAGAGAGTTGAGACTATTCAGTGATCAGCATAAATAAATAGTATACCATCCTTTATAATTTTCTTTCATTTTTGCCTTAAAATTATACTAGCTTAATTTCCTAGATTCTTGCTTTAACTTTTTAAGTTTTTTATTCCTCTTAAGATTTCTTATTTTCTTGCCACTTTGATGGTGTATTCTGAAGTTTCATTTTATATATTATTCATTGGTTTGGGGGGAATTTGTTCATTTACCTTTTAGATGAAAGGCTTTTTTATATATCTGGTATACTCTAGTATACTGCTCCAGAGATAATGAAAATAGAAATTTTACCACTCACTTTCAAAGCCTTGAAAAAAATGATCCAAATCTTAATGGAATCATAAAACCACCTTTCTATGGTGGTCCTATTATCTAAATGTCAGGAGAACTACTCCTCATTCTATTTCTTACTAAATAACTTTGAAACCATGGTCAGATCATTTCCCCTCTCTGGACCTACTTTCCTTAACTATAAAGCATCTAGGTAGTGTAAATGACCTTTCAGGGGCTGCCCCAACATACTATTCATTTATCAGTTTATTTCACAGTAGAACATGCATTCTATAATGATTTTTAACAATCTCAAATTCCAAACCAAATATTTCTTTTTCAATGGCAGGCTTGTTGCTACTTAAAGCTTTTCATGGAAGCTCTTGACTCAAGAATGCTACAAAAATAGGCTCTTGTCCTCTTCTTGCATCTTGCAGATGTACAACATTAGCATAAAGAGATGTTGGAAAAAAGGTGCCCTCTTCTACCATGTAGTTCCTTTGCTGCTACGTGAACCTCATATATTCTCACCTCCTTCTTGAAATACTTGCAACAGAGTACATAAAGGATAGCTGAACATTCTTTGGAGAGGACAATTGTAGTTTAATCCAACCTTTGAAAAAGCTTTGCTCCTCATTCAAATTCTTTAGATGCTCTCAGTGCGTAAACTACATGTCATGGTACATACAAAAGGGAAGAGAAAAACACAATTGTCATGGTCAGTTTGAGATGCTACAACAAAAATGCCATAGACTGGTAGACTGGGTGGTTTAAACAATTACATTTATTTCTCACAGTTCCAGTATCTGGTGAGGGCTCACTTCCTTGTTTGCAGACAGCTACCTTCTTGCTGTATCCTCACATTGCTGAGGGAGGGATCCCGTGTTTCTTCCTCTTTTTATAAGGGCATTCATCTCATTATGAAGGCCTCATCCCAATGACCTAATCTAATCCTAATTACTTCCCAAAGGCCCCACCTGCAAATACCATCACATCGAGGACTAAGGTTTTACTGTATGAATTTTGTGGGGAGGTGAGGAATAGCAGATGAAACACATTTAGTCTGGAGCAACAATTAACATTGTTTTAAAAAACCACCATGTCTTTCAAAATATATGTATTTTCCCCTAATGATTACATTTATTTCTCACAACAATCCTTGAGGTAGATATTGTTATACCTCCTTTTGGATGTGAAAACTGAGTTCACAAAGGATAATTAAGAGATTCAAGACTTCACATTTGTACTGCACTGTCTACCAAAGCTCATCAGTGTTACTGAAATTACATGAGAGATATAAATCTAAGTAAATAGAACCCCCTGCCTCATGGTAATAAGTAGAAGACTCAGGTATAAGGCAAGAACAACTCCGTCAAGATGAGGAAACACAGGCATTCACATACCCGCTGATGCATGAGGATAGAGAGCATGGCCTCTGAGCTCAGGAAGACTGGATTGGTTTAATTCCCAGAGCTGAGGCTGTAGTAGATTTCTTTTTATTTTCTTTAACTTTATTTATTTATTTATTTGAGATAGAGTCTTGCTCTGTGGCCCAGGCTGGAGTATAGCGGCACAATCATAGCTCACTGCAGCCTTGAACTTCTGGGCTTAAGCAATCCTCTTGCCCCAGCCTCCCAACTAGCTAGGACTACAGGTTCATGCCACTGCACCCAGCTAATTTTTAAAATATTTTATGGAGATGAAGTTTCACTATGTTACCCAGGCTGATCTCAAACTCCTGGCCTCAAACAATCCTCCTGCTTCAGCCTCCCAAACTGCTGGAATTACAGGCATCAGCTAGTGTACTCAGCCCTTAGCTTTCTTTCTGACATAATTTTAGATTTAAAGAAAATTTAAAAATAATAATAGAAAGAATTCCAGTATATCTTCTCACAGAGTTTTTCAGTGTTAACACATTACTACATTTGTTTTATCACTCACAAACATACACATATTTTTATTGAAACATTTGAAATTAAGTTACAGACAAGATGACCATTGATTATTCAATGTGTACTTTCTAAAACAAGAACATTCTGTTACATAACCACAGTATAATTACAAAATCAGGAAATTAACACTGATCTACTTCTACCATTTAACTGTCAAATTGCCTTGGTGTTTCACTCCTTGTTCCTATATTGCTCTTTATAACAAAAGAAAAAGTTGGATTATATGTTGCTTTCAAAATAGGCCAGGCACGATGGCTCACATCTATAATCCCAGCACTTTGGGAGGCTGAGTCGGGCAGATCACCTGAGGTGAGGAGTTCGAGACCAGCCTGACCGACATGGTGAAACCCCCATATCCACTAAAAACACAAAAACTGGCCGGGCGTGGTGGCGGGCGCCTGTAGTTCCAGCTACTCAGGAGGCTGAGACAGGAGAATCACTTGAACCTGGGAGGCGGAGGTCGCAGTGAGCCAAGATTGTGCCATTGCACTCCAGCCTGGGCGACAGAGGGAGATGCTGTCTCAAAAAAAGTAAAAAGAAAAAAAAAAAAGTCTGGTGGCTGAGTGCAGTGGCTCACGCATATAATCCCAAAACTGGGAGGCCGAGGTGGGTGGACCACCTGAGGTCAGGAGTTTGAGACCAGCCTGGCCAACATGGTGAAACCCCCTCTCTACTAAAAATACAAAAAGAAGCCTGTAATCCCAGCTACTTGGGAGGCTGAGGCAGGAGAATCTCTTGAACCCAGGAGGCTGAGGTTGCAGTGAGCTGAGATTGCGCCACTGCACTCCAGCCTGGGCAACAGAGCAAGACTCTGTCTCAAAAAATAAATAAAATAAAATAATAGCTTAGTTATTTTTTAGTATACCTCTCATCGTGGGGTCATCTGGTGGTTTCTTATGATTAGTTTCAGGTTATGCACTCTTGACAGAAATAACCAAGAAGTTATGTTGTGTTTTAAACATGCATGAGGTCAGGAGGGAAATGATATTATTTGTCCTATTCGTGTAGATATTAACTTTGATCATTGGTTAAGATGATGCCTGTAGGCCTCTCCAGTGTAAACATGTCATTTTTTTCATTTGTAATAAATATTTTTTTCATTTTATTTTATTTTATTGTTGAGACAGGATCACTCTCTGTAACCCAGGCTGGAGTGCAGTGGTGCAATCTCAGCTCACTGTGGCCTCAACTTGGGGCTCAAGCGATCCCTTCTACCTCAGCCTCCTGAGTAGCTGAGAATACATACACGCACTACCACACCTGGCTAATTTTTTTTTTAGAGATGCGGTCTCACTATGTTGTCCAGGCTGCCATTGAACTCTTAAGCTCAAGTAATCCTTCCACCTCGGCCTCCCAAAGTGCTAGAATTACAGGTGTGCACCACCATGCCCAGCCTAAGTAAGTATTTTTATGGAGCAAAACTTTTGGGGCTAGATAAATATCTTAGTCCCATTAATGTTTCACCCACTAGCTTTATTATCTATTTATAATTCTTCCTTTAAGCAATTAATACTGTGATGTTTGCAAATGATTTCTCTAATTTTATCATTCCTGCCTCATTTATTAGGTGGCCTTTTACTCCAAGGAAGAGCTTTTACTTCTTCCACATTTATGTATTTGTTTATTTGTTTATATCATTCTGTATATCTGTATGGAGTTCATGTTACAAGTTTCCTAACCCTCAGGAACCTCAGTTCCTCCTCTGTAAAATGGCAATGAAAATATTTACCATCTAGGTTTGCTGTGTAGATTAAATAAGCTAATATAGGTAAGGTCCTCCAAATCATGAGAATCACATAAATTGGAGCTACTTATATTAGTAATAATAATAATAATACTTGTCTGACTTTTAATATAGTGAGAACAGTTCAGGGTCATCTTCTGTCAGTACTTTATGAACTTGAACGACCCATTTAACCTCTCTTGCTCTCATTCTTCTCACCTATAAAACAAAAGAGTTGGGTTACATGATCTCTAAATTCAACTACAATTTTAATGTAAGAAACTAAGATTCTGTACCTATAAAATATGTGTGCATAAATTCATTTTTTCCAACACCCTGTGAAGTATTCTGTATTATCTTTGCAGTATGAATATCTTTCATAACTCTTAGTGTTCTTCTAAAATTTCAAAAGACATATAATAATTTATCTCTGAATAAACAGTTTGAGTGTTCCATTTAATACTTTATATTTTAATAATGTTAGTTGGTCACAGCTATTTTCCAACTAAGCAGATGACTTTGACAAAATGTGAAATAGCTAAAGACAGATGGTTTCCAGCTCCAACTGTTTGGGTTTATTTTCCAATGCCAGCAAGGTCAGTGATCCTTCAACTGAGTGTGGCCTTAGACCACATGATGGCTATGATTTGCATATTACAGAAAGAATAGTTCAAACACTTTAAATTTCATTCTAAAACATATGAGTCACATCATAAAATGTGACCAGTATAGCTTGGAAGTTTATTATAGGTAACCTTGAACATGTCTTTGCACATTGTTGAAATGAAGAGTATATTAATAGCCAGCAAATGGATTAATCTCAGTATTAAACACTTCCCAAAGGAGAGGGTGCTGAGGTAACAGAAAGAACCCTTGAATTCCTAGGCTTAAATCTTAGTTCTTACTAGTCCTATAAACTGAGGCAAATAAGTTTCTGTGTCTTTTTACATCAAACTGAAATAACATGTGGTATGGTTTGGATTTGTGTCTCTGCCCAAATCTCATGTCAAATTGTAATTCCCAGTGGTGGAGGTGACGCCTGGTTCGAGGTGACTGGATCATGGAGGTGTTTCTCATGAATGGTTTGACACCATCCCCTTGGTGATGGTCTCATGATAGCAAGTGGATTATCATGAAATCTGGTTGTTTAGAAGTGTGTAGCACCTCACCCCTCACTCTCTCTCTTGTTCCTGCTCCTGCCATGTAAGACATGCCTGCTCCCGCTTCACTTTCTGCCATGATTCTTAGTTTCCTGAGGCCTCCCCAGAAGCTGAGCAGATGCCAGAATCATCCTGTACATCCTACAGAACTGTGAGTCAATTAAACTTCTTTTCTTTATGAATTATTCAGTCTCAAGTATTTCTTTATAGAAATCCGAGAATGGACTAATACAACATGATGGATCTCATAGGGATGTTGTGAGAAGAAAATAAGTCCATTTTAATGAGATCACCTAGCATATAAAAGTTGCCTGTATAGTGTCCAATAAATATGGGGAGAATAAAACCAGGATAAACGAGGTCCAGAATGTATAGTATAGCAATCTTTTCTTTAGGATTTTTTTTCTAAACTGAACTTGGAATTAAATTTGGAAAGTTAAGAAGTACTATGTTCCAGGTTGAGCATCTGAAGACTCAAGAGAGTAACTGCCTTATGACATACCTAGTCCAAGTCCAGCAGCAAGGCTGGGTGTGTCATAATCACCTCAGTGGTACTCAGAGTCATAAATCTTGGGCCTCATGTTGAAAATTATGCATGAGTAAATCTATAGAAAAGTCCAAGTATCTGTATTTTTAAGCACTTACCAGATGAGTTTTGTGTTTCAGAATCCCTGTTCTAGGAGACTTAAGAACAGGCTGGGCATGGTGGCTCACTCCTATAATCCCAGAACTTTGGAAGGCCAAAGCGGGCAGATCATTTGAGGTCAGGAGTTCGAGACTAGCCTGGCCAACATGGTGAAACCCCATCTCTACTAAAAAAAATTAAAAAATTTGCCAGGCGTGGTGGTGCAGGCCTGTAGTCCCAGCTGCCAGGGAGGTCAAGGCAGAAGAATCATTTGAACCCGGGAGGCAGAGATTGCAGTGAGCTGAGGTCATACCACTGGACTCTAGCATGTGTGACAGAGCAAGACTCCATCTAAGAAAAGAAAAGAAAAGAAAAGAAAAAGAACAATGAAAAACATATCAAGTAAGCCACTAGATCATCAAGTGGTACCAAGATTGGGAGCGCCTTATCAGCTACCAGGAGCACACCACTGGTGCTGACTAATGGTCTTTAATACTTAAAATTATTTCGATGAGTTGCTTCACATGTCAGGTGCAGGCTCTAGTCTCAAACTCCCTGGGTTTTACCAAGACTTTACCATTTTCCAGCTATGTCATCTTTGATAGCTAGTTAATATAACATCTTTGTGTCTGTTTCCTCATCTCTAGAATGAAGATTGTTGTAAGGTTTAAATGAGATAATTTGTGTGCAGCACCTAATAAAATGCTGGCACAGACTGACAAACAAATGGATGCTAATTGTTTAATTATCCTGAAGTTCAAATGAAGACATTTTGAACAACTATGCCTTTATATATGCCATTTCCCATGTTTGGAAGCCTTTCCCACACTTTTCCGCTTAGTAGGCTCTTCCCTAGCATTCAAGATTTAAGATTCTATGTGGGAATGTCCTTCTCTGCTCTCTGTATGTCCAGCTCTGCCCAGTGAAATCCTCCCACGAAGCAAATCTTCTTGCTATGGGAAAAAAAATTCTGATCAATTGCCTGCCAAGTCCTAATTAATCTCCACCTTTCCTGCCCTCCATCACACAGTGTATGCATGCTATCTGAATTGACCTTAGATATGTAAGTCTTCCTTGTGGTAATGTCTACTTTCTTTGGGTGAGCTGTTGGTTTCTCACATCTTTAATTGTACATGTTGACGATGCCAAGACCTGTTTCTCAAACTCATACTATTCCCCTAAGCATAAGACCCATATAGCTATCAATCTTCTGAAAATACCCTTCTTTATGTCTTGTAAACACTCCAAATTCAACATTAATAAAATCAATTTACCTTTCAACTACATTTTTTCCTATATTCTCCTTTGTGCCACTTTGGAAAATAGTTTGGCAGTTCCCCAAAATGTTAAACATATAGTAACCATATGATCCAGCAATTACACTTCTAGATATACACCTAGAAGAAATGAAAGCATATGTCCACACAAATTCATAACATTATTATTTGGAATAGCCAAAAGGTGGAAACAAACCAAATGTTCACCGACTAATGAGTAGATAAACAAAATGTGGTATATTCATACACTAAGATAATATTCAGCCATGAAAAGGAATGACATACTGATACACGGTATAATGTGCATGAACCTTGAAAAAATCATGCTAAGTAAAAGAAGCTAGACACAAGTTATATTATTCCACTTATACTAAATTTCCAGAATATACTAATCCGTAGAGACAGAAATAGATTATTGGTTGCCAAGGGATAAAGGAAGGAGGGTATGGGAAATGACTTCTAATAAGTATGAGATTTATTTTGAGGATAATGAAAATAGTCTAAATAGATTCACAGCTCTGTGACTAAATTAACAACCACTGAATTTTACAGTGAGTTTTTTGGCATTTAAGTTATATCTCAATTTTTTTAAAAAAATGATTTCCTATGATTTCCATGTATGACATCATTACTCCATCACTATTGCATTCATTAACAGTTAAAATTTTGGCAACATTTTGGCTTCCTGTCTTCCTAACATGTAAGAACATTGTCAAATACTTATAGTTCTCTCTTCAAGTTGTCCCCCTGATCCATTACCTCCAAAAAAGGGATCATCTTAAATATAAGTATAGGGGAAGAAATTAATATTCCTCTGTACTTATATAAAGCTCTATCCTTCATTTATCAGTATCAAGACATCCCTATAATAATGAGAGAACAAAATAATTGATTTGCCCAAAGGTATATAACCAAGCTGGTTTGATACCCAAGACCTTTGGTTCTAAGTCCCACATTTATTTCACTGCATTACATTGTGCAATGTTACATGAACACATGTGCAATCACTAAAAGTATCAGCAACAGGGAGGACAATCCACTGCATCTAATCCTAAAGGAAGGAAGACAAAGATCAGAGAAATATGGGTAACCTCCCATTCAGAGCTGTTAAGAGGAGAGAGAACGAACATTACTTGAAGGTCCTCTGACTTCCCCCAGCTGGAGAAGTAGGAATTGTTCAAACACCAGTCAGTTGATAAGGAAAGAGCATCCCAGCTTTGCTAATCACTACCTAATAATCACATTTTCTGAATTTCAATGTTTGTTACACAAAGCTATTTTTATATAAATTAATCATCAAAATTCTAGATCAAAGCTGCTCAATCTGGAGCTATTTTGCCCCCCAGGGGACATTCATTAATGTCTGGAGATATTTTTGTCACAATTGGGTAGGGGTTTTTTGAGGGGAGAAGTGCCACTGGCAGATAGTCAGCAGAAGCCAAAGATACTGCTAAAAATCCTACAATGCGCACAACAGCTCCCCAAACAAAGAATTGCCTAATCCAAAACGTCAGTCGTGCTGAGGTTCAGAATCACTGTTCTAAATGCATTTTTCAGTTACTAATAATTGCAAGATGTATTCCCAACTGGCAGACCTCTGTTGTTTGATTGTAGAGGACTTCCACAAAAATAATCTGTGACCCCAAGAGCCTCAGGCTTTACTCAAAATAAAGAGTTCTTGTGGATTTAATTCAGTTGAATTTAAACTCTAATGTTTACCTACTGTGCTGGAAACACAAGGCTATGAACTATTGGGGATATATGCAAATAGTTATAACATGCTCCATACCCTTTGGAAACTTATAATTTATTAAATGTGGCAAGTTCCTAGAGAATGGGGACTATGTTTTCTTAGTACCTACATGATAGGTGTTTTACAAATATTTATTAAATGAGTAAGAAAAGCCTCTCAGTAATTTTTCAAAATCTTCCCCACTTTCATAGATGTCAATGCCCAACTGCACCATCTCATTTTTGTCAGACTGCTTTGCCTTTTACTTGGTAAAGAAAAATGGAGGTTACAGCATGGACCAACTGTAGCCTCTTCATCCCCTCATTTACTTCTGGACCCATATTTTCCTCCTTTCAAGTTTAAGAAAATTAGGTGCCTCTCATCCTACACAAGGCCAACTCTTTCACTGTTTTCATATCCCTCTCTCCTAACTCTATTATCTTCCAGATCTGACCCAGTCAGTAATCAATAATACCTACTTTGTGTAAAGTACATGATTCAGCAATCAAAATATAGTACATGTTCAATGATTATAGCTTTTATATTCCCTCTCCAGTCCAAATTTCTCCAGTCTGGAAATAAAATCTCCTTTTAATCTTGTATCCACCTGTATTGTTTTTCTTCTCTTTAAAGCTTACTTTCTTTGTGTCCCTACTTTCTTATTTCTCATTCATTTTACATTCTGAAATCTTATTCTGCCTCTCCCACTCACTGAAACTACTTGTGAAGAGGCCATTCATTGATGATCTTCATGATGCAAAATTCTTAGCTGATTCTTTGACTCCTGAAGCATGTGCCCTTTCCTACAAAAATGACTGTATATACCCACACAAACAAACTTTTCATAATATTTTCAAAGAATTCACTGAGACAACTATTGATCTAGTTTAAAAGCACTGTAGTTTACAGAATTTAGTCCTCACTGGAAAACTCTGTTGCATTTAACACTGTTTTATCTCCAATGGATGCCTGAGACAAAAGATGAGGAAACATTCTACAATTACTTCTTGAGCAACTATTCCATGCCAGATGTTGTACAGCATACTAAAAGAATAGAGGTAATAGAACAAGGTCCCCCTCTCAAAGGAACTCACAATATGTATTTTTGTGAAGAAGGAGTGAGTAGCTCTGAAATTTCAAACCTGAATGCTTGGGAAAGTGGTGATGCTATTCATTGAAAAAGAGAACCAAGGGAAAGGAGTGATTTAATAATTCAGGTGCTGAGTTTAGCCTTGGACATATTATGATTGAGGAGTAAATAAGATATCCAGATGGAGAAATTCAATATTATTCAGAAATTGGTGCGAGAAAGGGTGTTGGGAGAGAAAGGGTGGTGGTTAGTGCTGTCTGGTGCTCATAAGGAAGATTTGACCAGATAAGGTGAACCTAAGTCAAGGCTGAAACTAGATAAGATTCCAAAGTTCTCATTCTTTAGATAGCCTCCCAGAAAGAAATAAAAATTTGCGGTATTTTGGCAAGAAATTCAAAATATAAGCAGATTGTGAACAAAGCCATGGTCACTGGTGTTAGATGGATGTGATGTATCTAAACCTAAATGCATAAGATGCAATGTCTGAGACCTTGAATAAATATATAACCCCATTTAAGTGCTAATATCCTCACCTAGCATATCATATTGAGAATAAGTAGTCAAATAACACATATAGAAGACTTACTATAATATACAGTACATAGTAAGGAGTAATTAAATTATAATAATATCATTATTTTTAACTATTAGGATTTGATTTAATTAAATGTCCATTTATAATTTCTTGAAGACCTGGAAGCCAAATATGCAAAATTCTCCAAATATCAATATTTTTCTGATTGTTAGACACCATGTTCAGAAAAAAGAGCCAAAAAATCATATTTAATAAAGTATAATTTCCTGGCATCAATTCCTTGAATGTTCTGTACTTTCATCTATATATAGGATGATGATATTTCATGTCCATATTTATGAGCCTAATGCTCTAAGAGTTTCTCAGTTATTTTAAAAGCTGGTTGAAATTAATAAAGTGAGCCATTTATTCATTCAACAAACACTCATTGAATGCATTCTATATGACAAGCATTGTGACAGGTGTTGGGAATACAGGACAGAGAAGACTATGATGTCACAGAGCTCACAACCTAGTAAGGTTATAAATACCATCATTTTACTAATGTGTAATTAGCTTTGATAAGCATCATGGATAAAAAATATAGAGAGTTATGAAATCATGCAGTAAAGAATCTAATCCTTTTGGAGATTCAAAGAAAGTTTCCCTGGAGAAGTGATATTTGAGCTACAATCTGAAGATTCAGTTGGGTAAAAGGCACAAGGGAAAGAGTTTTCCAGGCAGGAGAACATAATACGTTAGGACACTACATAGGGAGGGTGCAGGATAACTTCGATAAAGAGAAAAAAGAGAAAATATGGCTCTACAACTTAGTAAATGTGCTGACACATGTGCCACTCAGATTCCTGTTCAAAAAGACTTTCTCCGAGAAGCATGGCTGACTGGCAGCATCCAGACAAAGCACTCTGGATCCAGCAAAGTGTTCATAGTGAGGCCAATCTTTTGCCAAGTTGCTCCCAGCCAATGACTGAGTGCAGCATGGATACTAGAGCCAGGTCATTACCACTTGACATGAGACATGCCTCTAACAGGCAATCTTTGTTTAGGGACTTCCCATCAGCCTAGCCAACATTTTCTCATAATTGTACTGTGGTGTGAGGCTTTTCCCATTTATCCTCCTTCCTTTCCTTTCTCTTCCTACAGCTTTCAAATCCATGTAGTGATCTGAAGGCCCCTGTTCACTTTCCCTTTATCATGCACACACTTTAGATCAAATCCACATGTATAATTCTAACTTTACAGTAGGCTACCTCTGGCCTAATTTAACTTTAAAAATTGGTGGCTCTGACATAATTAAGCCCATAATGGGTAGTTCCAGAGGCATGTTCTTTTGGTGCCTCAGAGACAAGCCTTATGTCTCTGCTAGGGCCCAGTAACACACAAGGAACTCTTTTTCAAAAGACATATCATTCTCCATTGCAGATGGCATAGCCTTGCTCCAGAACCACACAGGGCTCTGCTGTGATTCTGTCAATGGGGCTTACCATAATAAATTCCATACAACATCTTTTTCCACCACTGATACTCCCAGTAACATAGGGTCTGCAAAAGCAGCAGGGTTGCTTGCACTACAGCTGAATCTGCTACCATTTTCCAAGGCCATCAATAATTCATTAGTGAGAGGGGTACCAACATCACTCCTCTGTAGGCCGGGGCTGACCGGTAGAAAAGAAATCTCAAAGCTGGGCTCCTTAGTAACCCGGGGCATGATGGAGTCCCTATGACTTGTGGTGACAATATTGAAACACCAGAAACCAGACCTACTGTGACCTGGGGATTCCCTTTGACTAGGGTTTGTTCCTAGGTCCATAATGGTGAAATCATCAAACTTACGGCATTTAATTCTCTATTGAAGATGGATGTCTTGTGCCAGGAACTATCTGTCCCCCACATTCCACTCAGGATGGCGTCCTCATTGCCAGCCAGTTAATGAGTGAGCCAGTCCCCAAATCTCTGTTTTCTCAGACCACTCTGGATGTCACCTGGTTTTCCTTTTAGAGCCTCAGAGAAGCAGACCACAAAATGGGATTCCATGCACAAAAAAATTTACTGGGGAAATGTGTAGCTACATAACAGTCAAATCCAGGAGTGGACTCAAAAGACACCACAAAGAGAAGATCATCACTAAGCTATGCGCAGTGAACCTCTTCATCCATAATATGTGGAAGGAAAAGTAGCCTGGAGTGACAATATTCAGAGTTTCTTGGGCAACAGTTATTAGTTAATTACCTGGCCAGATTGTAGACACCTGGATGTAAAAGCCTGCAAGATTAGAGACATGGCAATCTGGAATAGGGGCATGTGGATGGACAGAGAGCCATAGGGGAAGTGAGAGAACATGAAGTAACAAAAGTTTTGTTTTACACATGAACGTACATGAGAAAGCACCTACCATGGGAAAGACACTGAAGAATGAAGTAGACACAATGAGTCAGCAAGTTGACATAAGCCAGCTTCATCATTAGCCACCCCAAAACCGGTGTGATGAACACATAAATGGAGAAGCCACAGAGGCAGAAATGTAGAAATCCATGCACAGGCCAAACAGCATGGATGTTCTCTTACCAAGGCTGGTTAAACTTCTGTTGAGTCTGAATGTCCAACGCATCCAGCCATTTCATAGCAAGTTGGCCATGTTGAGTCTCTTCCATCCTAGATGGCAAGCTACTCTATGGGTTGGTTTCCCTGCTTACAGAGATTTAGCCAGTACCACAATCTGGGGACACAGGGGATGTCTGATTCACAAGCATGGAGTATCAGACAGCATAGCATCTGACAAAGGAGCCACCTCACAGTGAAAGAGATACAGGACTGGACCCATGACTACGAGATTCACCGGTTGGTTAGGAACAAAAAGTAACTATAACACTTTTAAGTACTTTTTTATATTAATGTCCACAGCATTTCCACCCAACAAAACAAAATTCAGCAAGTTTATGTGGCTTTCTAACAATAATCACCTTCCAGTTTCCAATAACATGTTCCTCATTTCCATGTGAGTTTTCACCAGAAGCACCTGTAACATTCATATTTTCACAAATAATCTCTTCAAAGCAATAAAGGCTTCAAAATTCTTCAAACCTCTACTCATTACCCAATTCTGAATTCCAAAGCCACTCCCACATTCTCAGGTACTTGTTACAGCAGCACCTCACTTTCCAGTACAAAACTCTGTATTGGTTTCCTAGGCAACAAAGTACAAAAATATAGGTGGTTTAAAACAACAGAAATGTATTGTCTCACAGTTCTGGGTGCCAGAAGTGCAAAAACAAATTGTCAGCAGGACCATGCAATCATTCCTTCTCTCTTCTAGTTTCTATTGCTTGCAGGCAATCCTTGGTATTCCTCAACTTGTAGGTATATTGCTCCAGTGGTACGGCTATCATCTCCCTGTGTGTCTTCACATTGTCTTTCCTGTGTATCTGTCTCTGTGTCCAAGCTTCCAAATTTTATAAGGATATCAGTAATACTCGATTTTAAGGACACCAGTCATATTGGATTAGAAGAACATCAGTCATACTGGATTAGGGCCCACTGTAATGACCTCACTTTAACTTTAACTCCTCTGTAAAGATTATATCCCCAAATAAGGTTACATTGTTAGTCTAACTGGGAAATAGTATCTCAACGTCTGAATCTAAAGGTACAGCACTGTGGAACTCAATTCAACCCCTAACACTATGTGAAAGACATTATTAGTTTTTTGGGCCACAATTAATGTCCAGTCCTATTTGAACATATGGTTTCCCTAGAAGGCCACAAGTTGAAAATTACTAAACTTCATCCAATGTCCTTCATTTTACAAATGGAGGAAATGAAACAAAAAACGAAACCCAAAACCTTTCATTTGAAATCCAGCCCAGTTGTGACCCTACTTCACTCCCTTGCTTACTCAATTTAAACAGAAGAGACTCCATTCGAGGTCTGTTCTTCAAGTAATTAGAAAACTCAGGTAATAAAATGCAGCATCTCTATGAACTGTAAAAGTCTTTTATTGTATACAAATATTTTTAATCAACTAAATGGAAAAAAATAGTGTTGTAGAATTATATCAGTTACGTTAGGTAAGCTATTATGTAGTAATATAAGACACTAAAATTGTATTGGCTTGCAACATCAAAGATATATTTCTCACTCACATTACATACCTGTCATGGGTCAGCTCTGTCTTTAGTCTAGTACTTTTATCTAGTCTTTTTATCTTTAGTCTAGTACTCAGAGTGAGGAGCAACCCCTTTCTGAGGTATGCAGTTTTCCTGGAAGAAAAGGAAAGGAGGCTCAGATATACAGCATCTACCTAAGACTAGACTAGCAAAATAAAAAAAAAAAAAACACCGCCATCAGCCTAACATGCAACAAGTAGCAAGCAATGGCAATATACCATTGAGGGAGGTGAAAAGGCATACTGAACGAACACATGGCACACAGCGTAGGGAAACCTTAAATGTGAGATTAAAGTAAGTACACTGAGAAAAACACTTCAGCACCACAACTCTCACCCTAAGCTCAAGGCATGTTAGATGAAAGCTTACAGTGCATTGAAGTAATCATAGCAATGAAACCTAAGCCCCATTCAACTCCTAACCAGATTTTCTCAAACCTCCACATTATTTGCCTAAAGGATAAAATGTGCATTCATTTCCAGGAGTAAATAGTATTTACTCAAGTTTCTACTGTTCTGGATGAGATAGCTGACATTTAAGATAAAATTACAAAGACACAAAATGCAAGTGAAATTGACCCATTGTCACGAGAAAAAAAATTTAACAATACAAAAATAAGAAATAACCAAAATATTGGGCTTTAAAATAATTATGGTTGATATGTTCAAGAATTTAGTGGAAAAGGTAGAAAACATATGAGCACTAGTGGGAAATTTTAGCAGACAAATAACAATGGGAGAAATATAAAAGGACTTCATCTGAGATGAAGAATTCCATTGTCAGGCTCATCATTAATTTTACACAGCCAATAAAATAATCAGTGAATTTGAAGATAAGACAATTAGAAATTTAGAAATTACCCGAATGGAAAGGAAAATATTTTTTAAGTGAAAACAAATAAATAAAGGAAATGAACAGAAAAATAGAACAGAGTATGTAAAAGCTATGTGACAATATTAAATGGTCTAACATATGTGTAACTGGAGCCCAAAAAGGAGGAGAGAGAGAGGCAGAAAGAAAAAGCTTTGAAAGAATAGCATCCAAGAATTTTGCAAAATATAACAAAAGACATCAAACCACAAATCTAAGGACCTCAGAGGACCTTGAGCAGGATAAATACTACATGTTATACTCCATTTGGCTTATTATCTCAAGAACCTTGTAAAGTAGGCAAAGTGAATATTCATATTTTATAGGTGAGGAAGGATTAAGTAGGTTTCATCCACATTCACATAGTTGGCCTCAAGGCAGAACTCTGAAAACTTCTAGGGACTTCTTTGCCCCATTTCCTTCTTTTCCTTTCCTTGAATTTTTTTTGCTGCCTCTCCCATGTACTTGCTGGGAAGTCTTGGACTTATCACTTAAATTTCACTTCTTTTTTTTTTTAAAGGACTCTATTAGTACAGGATTGATTCCTGAAAATATATTTAAAGAACCAGGACAGAACTTGGGGAATAATTCTGCACTCTACAATCCCCATGACTTTGGGGTGTGGGCACCATCTGTGAATCTGCTTTCTTTCTGAGTTATGGGCAAGATATAAGCATGGGTTTCTTCTACTCCTAGATTCCATATTTACCAGAGAATTCTATGGTTCCTGTTCCTTATAATGGCTGGAGGAGAAAGAGGAATAGGGCAGGCCTTATTTGGTGATTAACTTTTGTACATTATATTCTCCAACTGTTCTTTTTTTCCCCTAGCTTGGAAAATTATATTTGTCTAGGATATTTGTTTATTAGAGGTGATTATGCGGGAGGAGGTTTGGAGCAAATTTTTCCTTGTCTCATACTCTAACGTCTTCCAAGTATTTCTCTGTTACACCTAAGCTGTTTTTTTAAAATATAAAAATTATAATTTGATTTTTTAATTTTTAATCTTCATTTCCTCCAGTGACAGCCTACCTTTGCAGCAATACTGGTTTCTTATTTCTGAGTCTAAATGGAAAAATGTCACAGAGTAAAACAGATGTGCACAGGAAAAGGGAGAAATAAAAGCACACCAGTTTATTATATTGCATACTATCAACATTGTCATTATTGTCAATATTATTGAATCATAATTAGTTTAATAAACATTTCTTTATTGTTCCTAAAAGCAACCTATGCACATTGTATCCATAAAAGCCAAGTAAAGCATGCTGTGGACACTCTGGCAATCATCTAGCCACCTCCTAAATTATTTATGACATAGCTCCTGTATCCTTTCAGCTCCTAGCTCCTGGCCCTTAGCTTGAGGGCTTCAGGTATCCCTGAATTTTGGTTTCCCTGCCTGGGTTCAGAATACTTACCGCTGAACTATTGACTCTTCCCTTCCTGACTCTTTCAACTAAAAGTCACTACCCTTTTTTTGCCCCCAGGGACGCAAGCCTCAGCACAGATCCTGCCCAGCTGACACACAGACTATTTTCAAGGTTGGGTGATAAAAACATTGTAAGGGAATAAAGAATCAATGGCTCCAGCCAAAGTTTCTCCCGCTCTTTTTGTCTCTTTCTTTCTGTCTGAAAGAAAAAAAAGATGTGCTCCAAAGTATGCAAACATTTATTGTGAAACATACTTCCCCTTTCTGTATAAAACGATGTAAATACATCCGCTAACATATGGGTCCATGTGTTCCTTCACTAAGGTGTGATGAGACTCGGCGCGGCATATCCACCAGGTGATGGGAGCCTGCCGCGGTGCGGGCGCAAGTGTTGCTGTCTCCTGAAGCAGGTGCACGGAAGCCCATGTGAGCAGAAGGCCCTGTGAAGGAAAAGTGTGGTTACTCAGACCCACAGCTTTAACACGGGAGTATAAGGTTCCAAGTTAACTCTGTTTATTTAGCACCTTCTGTTTGAACTTACAGGGCTTTAGATCTTATTAAGTCCTAAAAAATCACCTTACAGAATAAAAATTATAGCCACATCAGCTGAGAGCTGAGGATGCAGAGATTAGGTGAACTTTCTACAGTAGTGATTCTCAAATTTTAACACCTTAAGAATCACTCAGAAGGCTGTAAAATGCAGATTAAATAGAAGAAATAAGCTCCCAGTACAGTAGGAATGATTTAGTTAATAATTTATTGCATATTTCAAAAGAGCTTGAAGAGAACATTTGTAATGTTTCCAACACAAAGAAAAGTTACATGTTTGGAGTGAAGGATATTCCAATTACCCTTATTTGATCACTACACACTGTATACAGGTATCAAAATATCACATGTACCCAAAAAAAGTATGACTATTATATATTGATAAAAATAAATAAATTTTAAAAATACACAAACTCCTGGGTATGACATGGCTCTCCCCCAACCCACGCCGAGTTTCTAATTCAGTAGTTCTGGAGTGGGGCTGTACAATTTGCATTTCAAACATGTTCCTAGTTGATACCGATGCTGCTGGTCCAAGAACCACACTTTGAAAAACACTTCTTTAACACACAATGCACATGACTGAGGTCAAAAACCCTGATAAACTAAAGTCAGAAACACCAGACAGCAGCACTCTAAAAGGTACTATTAATCAAAACCAGAAAAGAAAAGAAAGTCATCATGCTTGGGAAGAGGGACAGGGAAGAAAACTGGATACCAGGCCCATCAGACTGGAGCAGTGCTGTCAATGTTTACTTTCAAATGCTACCCTCTTAACTGCTTTACTCTTTTGTCATATAGTAAACTTAGATAACACGAAAAGATAGGACTTCCAAACAGAAATATTCTGTGTGTGTGTGTGTGTGTGTGTGTGTGTGTGTGTGTGTGTGTGTGTTAATAGGAATAGGTGAGACTCCTTACAGCTCATTGATTCATTGATTGAAGTTCTTCTAAGCATGGGCACCCCATTGGCTATGGGAGAAGCGGGAATGGACTAAAGGTACTGCTCTTGACTTTGGAGATCTCATATTCTAGCAAATGTGTCCACCCTAAATCAGATCATGACACATGCCAGACACAGAGAGAGGATGGTTTAATTAATGCTAATTTGAAAGAGGTGGTGTCAGAAGAGGCTCCATGGAGGAGGTGACATTTAAATGGATCTAGAAGGATGAGCAGGGATTTAACTGGCAGGGACATTTGAAGAATAGCATTTGTCTACTATGTGAAAAGAAAAATAGTTTTCTTTTCCAAGGAAGGAATAATTTTTCATCTCAGAATCATTTTCATCCATATTGAAAGAAACCTATTATTTAATGTCAGTAGGCTTCCAAAATGAAGGTAAAATATAGAATAGAGAGTAGTTGGAATAAATACATTTCACAAAGGCAAAATATCTCCCTGAGTAGAAAGCTTTTTTTTTTTTAATCCTTATCTCTTTCCTGCTGACATGCCTCAAGGGAGCGTTTTATTTAAAATTGTTGAATTTCCTGAATTCCACTGTGTGTTTCAGCAAACTTCTTAGAGTCAGAGTGTGAAACAAAGAAAATTTGTACTACCAAAACACCCTTAACATTCCACAGGCAGCTTATTGGTTGGAAGAATTAGCTATAGGTGTTAATAATAGTAAAATACAGTAATCATAATATGCATTGCTTTATAATTTCCACTAATAGATTTGTATTATGCTGCTTGGGCTGGTATAACAAAATACTGTAGCAGAGTGGCTTAGACAATAGAAATTTACTTCTCACAGTTTTGGAGGCTGGAAGTCCAAGATCAACATGCTGGCAGGGTTGGTATCTGGTGAGACCTTTCTTCCTGGCTTGCAGGTGGCTGCCTTCTCACTGTCCTTATGTGGCCTTTGCGCTGTGTGCACACAGAGAGAGGAATCCCTGAGAGCTCTTCTTTTTCTTGTAAGGACACCAGTCCTATCAGACTAAGGCCCCATATTAATGACCTAATTTTAACCTCAATTACCCCTTACACACCATATCTCCAAATACAGTCACATCAGGGGTTAGAGCTCAACACAAAAATTTGGGGGGGACATAATTCAGTCCACAATAATGCTGTAAGTTTCTCAAGGTTAGCTTATTTTATTTGTCCCCTGTACTTCCTAATCCATTTCCTCATACACAGTAGGCCATTTGACTTGAATGGACTCACATTTACTCCCACAGTGAATTATCCTAGCAGCACCATGAGTTGGGCAGGGGAGCTATTATTATCACCCCAAATTTACACATGAACAATCATGGATCACAGTAAGTATATAGTATACGCCAAGCACTTGTTCAAAGCTCTGCATAAATTGACTATCATTATTCTTCTTTCATTAATGAGGAAATTGAAGCCCAGAGAGGTTAAATAATTGCCCAAGATGACATTTATTAAATGGCAAAGCCAGTATTCAAACCCTGGCAGGCCAGCTCCAGACCCCACAATTTTAGCCATGACGCTATGCATCCTCTCCTGATGGCCACCAAAGTCCTGTGGCTTACCAAAGCTTTCTTATTTGGTGGCTGTATTAGTGCCCTAGGGCTGCCATAACAAGTTACCACAAACTTGGTGGCTTAAAACAATGGAGATTTATTCTCTCCCAGCGATGCAAGCCAGAAGTCCAAAATCAAAGGACTGGCAGGGCCCCATAGCTTCCATCCCTGGTCTCTTTAGCTTCTGGTGGCTCCAGGGAGCTCTTGGCTTGTAGCAGCATCACTCCGACGTCTACCTCCGTTCATACATGGCCTTATCCTGTCTCTGGGACTCTCTTCTGTGTAACTTATGTAAGAATAATTGTCATTGGATTTAGAGCCCACCTAGATAACCCAGGATAATCTCACCTGAAGATTTTTACCTTAATTACATCCACATAGTACTTTTTTTCCAAATAAGGTCACATTCACAAGTTCTGAAAGCAGAATGTGGACATACCTTTTGAGATACCACCATCGAGCCCACTACTGCACAAATAGCAACCTATAATCCAGGAAATGGAGTAATATCAATACATCCTCTGCCTGGCATTTTTTCCTAGAATCTTATCCTCTTTCCCCCTTCCCAGACTCATCCACATGGGTACTCTGGTTCCCATCATGTAAAACATGCCCAACCCTTAGTTATGAGTAGTTGACTCATGGTGCATACTAACTCAAACTTATCTAAGATGTACCTTCCCTAAGAAGTTTCAGCTTGAGACAAAGAGAGAAATGGGACAAAAGCAGGTTTTTTTATTTGGTTGGTTGGTTGCTTTGTTGTTCTTGGAAGCCATGTTTACCAGCAGGGCTGGGCTAGGTTGAGCTGAGACAAGCAAGGGACCTAGGGTACCAAACTTAGGGATTGGCACATGCAAGGCACTGAGAGTGACAGCCTCATTAAATTTGAGGCCTAAGGTGTCTTACTTGCCTCATTCTAATCCTCCTGACCTTGTTTCTTGGCATGAGCAGCAGAGGATTACAGGAGACCCTGGTGGCAGAGGCAGGGGGACAGAGATATGAAAGAGAGAGAGAACTGGTGGTATTCTAGCCACTGGTTCTAGTTTTCTTGAAGTTTAGTAAGATCTCTGTTATTTGGTTCTATTACCTGCTTCAGTATCCATATTAATATATTCTTTTTTCTAGTATTATTAATATTATTATCATGATTAGTTTAAACTTGTTTGAGTTGGTTTTCTATCATTTGCAACCAAAAGAATTCCAAACTAAAGTCTAGGTGTTTTAACCCCTTATCCTTACTTTCCCATTATTTCCTAATATGAGGAGACTGAAGCAAAGAGAGAAAGATGATTTCCATGAAGCCATAGCACCTATGAAAGTGCAAACCCTGGTCTCTGCATGACAACCTCCACGTGGTTAAGAAGGTTCTCTCAAAGACATGAAACTGGCTCCTCCTTGCTTTGGTTTTTCATAAAATTTGTATATTTTGTCCTTTCAGTGTGTAGACAGGTAGAAACTTTAATTGGTGATTTAAGAAAATCTGTATGAGCATCAGTGATCATACTACGCACTTGGGTGCTAATGAAATATATTTGGCCATTTTACCATGCACGAAGTGGGCCAGAATGCTGTGTTTTTATTATTCTACTGTGGCTGTTCATGGATTTTCTTCTTTTCTCATCCGTAGCTTTGAATATACCTGCTGCTTCTAATATGCCATTTTTAATGTTTTAGAAAAATCAAAGGGTAAATAAATTAGCATAGACCAATTAACACTTCATTTTTAAGCTTATAACCAAAACGATATAAATCCCCTCTGGAAACTGTTGATCTCACTCTGACCTCAAACACGTCTTCCTTGTATCAGAGACAGAAAAGAAAATGCTCTAAATAGAGCCACCATAAAATCATCTTCCAATACAATGCCTTCTCCTCTTCCTTCTACAAAATAGAACCTTTCGTAGAAAGATAAAAGGAATTATAGAATGTATTCAATAAGGTCAATTTTCTTCTGTCTCATTTCCTGGTTTTCTTATATGGGACATGGTTTTATTTCTGTCTATGAGCACCATCCCCTTTGAAGTTATCATCATGGACCACATAACGACGTTTCCCTCAATGACAGACCACATATACTACAGTGGTCCCAGAAGATTGTAGTACTATATTTTTATTTTTACTGTACCTTTTCTATTTTTAGATATGTTTAGATACATAACTATTACCATTGTGTTACAATTGCCTACAATATTCAGTACAGTAACGTGCTGTACAGGTTTGTAGCCTAGGGCAACAGGCTGTGCCATAGCCTAGGTTTGTGTTAAGTACACTAGATGATGTTCCCACAACATCAAAATTGCCCAGATGTATTTGTCAGAGCCTACCCACTTCATTACATGATGCATGACTGTAATAGCAATAACTGCCATTTGCTGAGTACCTCGTCTATCACAGGAATTTTACAGTCTCTCTCATTTAACCCTCACAAGCCTCTTATTTAAAAATTAACAGCCCCTTTTTATAATGAGAACTACTCCGGTTTAAGGAGGGTAAGTAGGTTGCTCAATGCCGCAGACCTAGAGAATATTAAAGCCAGGATGTAGGACCCAGCGCCTGCATTCTTTCCATGGTACCAGGCAGGGTCAGAGTGTGTCTGCCCTTTGCAAGCATTTACCTTTTCTCCAAGGGAAAGAATAAAGGAAGTCTTGGGATCTGCTGTGTTCCTGGGCAGTTCACATTGACTGGTCATCTACCTGAATTTATTTCAGAGTAGCCAAGTAATCTATTCTACTCCAACACAGCTGAGAGTATCTTCCCTGCTCCAAAACCAAGCCCAGCACCAGGTTGGTTGACTTCTGCCTGATATACATTAAGTTGATAAATTTTTCCCTGTCTCTTTTCCTGTTGCAGTCCTTAGTGCATTTTTCTTCATTTGCTAAACGTTTAATGTTCTCTTTTTCATTTTCAAACTCTTTCCCATACAGCTAGTATCTCTTTATTTCCCCTGGGCTGTTTTATTTCCCTACATTGTTCATCATATGTGATAATATTAACAATCTGTAACGGGGCTTCAGAAGACTAGCTTCTCACTTTGGCCCTTTCCAGACTGATGCGACTATGGGCAAGTCACTTTCACTCACTGAGCTTTATTGCCCTTGTTTGTTAAATGGAAAATTGCATTTTAGAGTCTCTAAGATCCTTGCCAGCTGATCCGTCTGCCAGTTTCACTACACGGTGATCTGCAAAACCCTCTCTGTTGTGAATAAATAAGACACCACCACGCCACCTCCTTCATTACTCTCTTTCCCAAAAGAAAAGTCTCCCACAGGCTGTCTTCCAAAGGTAAGAGGAGGAATTAACTTATTCTTCATACTCCTGGATGCCTTCCACATCATCATTTGACACTCATTTATTTAACTAACAATTACTGACACCTAACAGGTCAAGCCCAATGACTCTGTGTTGGCACCTAGAGATTCAGATGAGAAAAGTGCAAACCCTATCATCAGAGACACAAACTGGCACATAAGAGAAACACAGAGAGGAGAAAATCTCTCATCATGGCAGGTGCTGGCACTAAGAACATTCTTCCAGAAGTGTTTATAGTGAAGCTAAGTCTCAAAAGCTGATTAGTGAGGTGTTTAAGTGCCCAGACTCTGCAGTCAGACAGATCTAAGATCAATGTCACCTCAAATAATCACTAGCTATATGACCTTGAACAAGTTACTTGACCTTTCTATGCCTCACTTTTCTTCATCTGTAAAATGAAAATCAAATTACTAAATTCTTAGGATTTTGGAGAAGAGTAATATTTATTAACTAAAAACATAAAGTATATACTACTATGCTAAATCCCAAGAATGTTGTAGTAAGAAACACATTATAAATGTATATAATGATATTCAGTCATACATCATATAATGACATTTTGGTCAACAATGACTGCATATACAAAAGTAGTCCCATAAGATTATAATACGGTATTTTTAGTGTACCTTTCCTATGTTTAGATAGGTTTAATACACAAATACTTACCACTGTGTTACAACTGCCTGCAGTGTTCAGTATAGTAACATGCTGTACAGATTTGTAACCTAAGGGCAATAGACTATGTCATATAGTCTAGGTATATAGTGGGGTATATATACCATCTAGGTTTGTGTAAGTACACTCTATGACAGGGGTGTCCAGTCTTTTGGCTTCCCTGGGCACACTGGAAGAAGAAGAATTGTCTTGGGCCACACATAAAATACACTAACACTAATAATAGCTGATAAGCTAAAGAAAATCACAAAAAAACTCACAATGTTTTAGGAAAGTTTACAAATTTGTGTTAGGCCACATTTAAAGCTGTCCTGCTGCATGTGGCCTACAAACCGCAGGTTGGACAAACTTGATCTATGATATGTTCGCACAATGATTAAATGGCCTAATGATGCATTTCTCAGAGCATAGCCCCATCATTAAGCAACATATGAATACATACACAGACACACACATTCTCAAATGTGTGTGTGTGTGTGTGTGTGTGTGTGTGTATAGTCTCAAAAAGTTCCAGGTACGATTATAAACACTTTGTGTGTCTTAATTCATTTAATACTCACTGTGACCCTATGATTTAAGTACTATTATTATTATTCCCATTTTAGAGATGAAGAAACAGGCACAAGAAGAATAAGTGATTACTCCAAGCTGCCAGAGCCTGAATTCTGACCAAGACCGTCTGTCTCTGGAGTCTATTCTCTCAACTACTGTGCCTCCTGCCTCTACTAACCTAACCACAACCCTCTGCCACCTTGATACAGTCCTGTGAGCTCTGAAGTGCAGTAAGCCCTTGTGGAGCTGTCAGTATAGCGGAGAAACACAATCAAACAAAACAGTAATCATGAACCGTGAAATCACTTCCCGGGCTTCTGGGCTCCTGGACTGGTTTAGGACCCAGGCCTGTCCAGTTAGATTACTACATCCTATAGAGATTGGTTCAGCGATCTGCACATGACCTAAACTGACCCTAGAATTGTTGCTAGAATGAATGGGAAAGGAGAGTTCTTTTCAGTAGAGTTGGCTGGAGCTGCTAGTGCCAGGGCCAGCTTGAGCCTGAAGCCAACAGAGAAACAGGAAGAGCCATGAGACCAGGAGAAACAGATCCCTGGCAAGAACCACTCCTGCATCCTGAGCCACTCAAAGCTCTGTTTGTTTAAGCCATTTTGGTTAGGTTTCTGTCACTTTCACATGACTCCTAACACACTCCGGAAAGTATATGTAATTCACTTTACACAGTACCACTAACCACCTGGTAGCTATGTGTACAGCCGTTTTTAAAGAACAAGTAAGAGTTAATCAAATATAGAAGCAAAAATTGTTCTCGGTAGAGGAACATGAATGTGCAATAGCACAGAGGTACAAGAGATCATTGCTTATTAAAGGAGAGTGAATTCCAGAGTAATGCAGCTGTAACATCCAGACCTCATCTTATTATTGTCTTCAACTGACCTCCAGATAATTCACCTTTAATGAGAACTTCAGTAACTGGCCAGGAATTTCCCTCTTCATTTCTTTCCACACCCTGGAAAATTTTAAGCATCTACGCAGATATATTCTAATTTGCTATTTCTCCTTCATTTATAGTGAATTGGCTGAAACTGCCAGATTACTGATCTCAAGGCATTGGGTCTTTGAGATCAGCAATAACACCATGTTTCTGTAAGTCTTACTAAGCATCTTTACCAGGCTGGTCTAGTGCATCCTAGGACTCAGCCCTTCCTGATCAACCTGTCCTTCTGCATGTAAACTATTATGATGTTTATTTCATGGTAAAGAAATAGAGTCTCAGCAAGGTGATGTAGTTGACTTGAAATTGCAGTTTGGCTGTGGTGGTGCTGGGACCTGTCCCACTCCCAAGCCTATGCTTTTTGCATTATGTGGCCTTGGTTAACACTTTGGTCCTCACTGAAACATGAGATTTGGCCATAATACTATCATCCATTGCCATTGTATGATTTTCCAGAGTTCCTTTGTATACATCCTCAAACTCTTATAAAGGCTTATGGGACTGTGCCTTAATTCCACATTGAAGACAGTACAGTATCCCCACCAGTTGCCCACTGGGAGAGATGTCAATGAGAGAAAACGTGCAACAATCGGCCAAACTTCCCTTGTCAATCCCTGGCTGATTGTACTGGGGCCTCTTTGTTGGAGTCACTGGAAATGTCACTTGCAAGGGGCACATTGTAGAGGCCATGAATTTGAAATGTAGAATACCAGGTCTCTTTATGCTGTGTGACTTTCATTTCGATCAGACTAGATATCTGTTTTGTGAGCTACTTAGGAATCCATATTGCCTTTCAGTTCTTCATTATCTCATTGGACCACTGACTGAAATGGCCTCTTCACTGACCTTCCTGCTTCCACTCTTGCTTTGCACATGCCCCTTCCACACTCAAGTCCAGGAGAGCTTTCTGCACTATGATGAATTGCACATACCTTCCCTTCAACCTACTAACCTTTCCCATCTAGGTCAGGGAAAAAAGAACATATGCTGGTTATAGAGAAGCCATTTGTGCCTGAATCTATAGGATGATTCTTTCTTTATAATATAAACCCAAGGTATAGAGGAGACAAAGCAATTCTTATCAATATGTGGCCAGAATTGTTATTTTTCAAGAAATTGGGTCAAAGTCTTAGTAATAGGATAAATGATCAGGCTTCACGGAAATGCAGACTTAGGACATAAAATCTAAAATCCTTACTAATGACTGTAAGCACATCTTTATTGGCCTCTGTACCAGAGGTCACATCTTCCACCACATCCTACCCCTACTTACTGGAATAATTATTGAAATTGCATTGAAACCAGAATTCAATTTGGGGAAAATTGATATTTGTAATATTGACTGGTTTAATTCAAGAGCACAATCTTTCCATTTATTTCAAGTTTCTTTAATTTCTCTCAGTAATATTTTGTACTTTTCTGTGTAAAGTTCTCAAATAATTCATTAAATTTATCTCTAATTTTTTAATTGTTTCCAATTTATAGAAATATAATTAATTTTTGTTTATGGACTTTGAATCTCCCATTATTGTTAAATTCAATTATTAACTTCAACAGTTTGGGCTTTATTTCTCTGAAAAATGAAAGTTTTCTTTTTTCTTTTTAGTCCTTAAGCCTTTTATTGACTTTGGTCTCACCTTATTTCATTGGATAGGAACTTCAGAAAATGTTGAAAAGTGGTTGAAATAACAAATAATCATCTTGCTTCCAATTTCAAGGGGGAAACTTTCAACATTCCATGAATAAGTATGTTTCTAATAGATACCTATAAGTTTAAGTAATATCCTTCTATTCGTAGTTATAAATCTTTGGTTTTCAGTTTGCTAAGAAATTTCTTTTTTATCGTAGGTAGTGTTGACTTTTCCTTAACCTTTTGAGATAACTGTGATTTTTCCCTTTTATTTTCTTAATGCAATGATTGATTTTCAAATGTCAAACAAACTTTTATTCCTACATAAAGCCAACTTGATTGTGATGTATTATCCTTTTTTATGATTGGGAAGTCTGTTTTCTAATATTTTTCTCTACAATTTCTGTATCTCGGTTTACAAGAGAGATTGGCCTGTAATTTTTCTTTCTTGTAATATGCTTTATTGTATCTTGGTTTCAAGGTTATGCTGATCACTGCAAATAAGTTAAAACCAATTCCCCTTTTTCTAGTCTCTGAAAAGGTTTCTTGTAGAAATGATGTTAATTCTGTCCAAAACACCAAAAGCAATGGCAACCAAAGACAAAATTGACAAATGGGATCTAATTAAACTAAAGAGCTTCTGCACAGCAAAAGAAACTACCATCAGAGTGAACAGGCAACCTACAAAATGGGAGAAAATTTTTGCAACCTACTCATCTGACAAAGGGCTAATATCCAGAATCTACAATGAACTCAAACAAATTTACAAGAAAAAAACAAACAACCCCATCAAAAAGTGGGCGAAGGACATGAACAGACACTTCTCAAAAGAAGACATTTATGCAGCCAAAAAACACATGAAAAAATGCTCATCATCACTGGCCATCAGAGAAATGCAAATCAAAACCACAATGAGATACCATCTCACACCAGTTAGAATGGCAATCATTAAAAAGTAAGGAAACAACAGGTGCTGGAGAGGATGTGGAGAAATAGGAACACTTTTACACTGTTGGTGGGACTGTAAACTAGTTCAACCATTGTGGAAGTCAGTGTGGCGATTCCTCAGGGATCTAGAACTAGAAATACCATTTGACCCAGCCATCCCATTACTGGGTATATACCCAAAGGACTATAAATCATGCTGCTATAAAGACACATGCACACGTATGTTTATTGCGGCGTTATTCACAATAGCAAAGACTTGGAACCAACCCAAATGTCCAACAATGATAGACTGGATTAAGAAAATGTGGCACATATACACCATGGAATACTATGCAGCCATAAAAAAGGATGAGTTCATGTCCTTTGTAGGGACATGGATGAAATTGGAAATCATCATTCTCAGTAAACTATCGCAAGAACAAAAAACCAAACACCACATATTCTCACTCATAGGTGGGAATTGAAGAATGAGATCACATGGACACAGGAAGGGGAATATCACACTCTGGGGACTGTGGTGGGGTGGGGGTAGGGGGGGAGGGATAGCACTGGGAGATATACCTAATGCTAGATGACGAGTTAGTGGGTGCAGCGCACCAGCATGGCACATGTATACATATGTAACTAACCTGCACAATGTGCACATGTACCCTAAAACTTAAAGTATAATAAATAAAATTTTTAAAAAAAGAAAAAAATCTAAAAAAAAAAAGAAATGATGTTAATTCTTTTATAGACTTTTGAAAAGAGTTCACCCATAAAGCTATCTAGACATAGACTTTTCTTTGTGAGAAGATTTATAATTTATGGATTCAATTTCTTTAACAAATACAGGTAAATTTTATATTGATTTATTTCATTGCTAATTTCTTTAAGTTGTATATTTAAGTTGTATATTTCAAGGAATGTATCCATTTTGTCTAAATTTTCAAAGTTTGTGCATCAAGTTGTTTATAGTAGCTACTTACGATTGCTCTAATGAATTTATCTGTAGTAAAGTCCCCTTTTATTGTTATTGCTGCTATGCACCTTTCTTTCATTCTCTCTCCTTGTTTTATAAATCCTGATGAAAGTTAATCAGTTTTACTAGTTTTATCAAAAAATATATTTTGGATTGTTTGGTGTTCTGTATTATATAGTTTTATTTTATATTTCAATATTTTTTGCTGCTTATACATATTAATTACTTCCTTGTAGCTTTCTGAGGTCTGATATTATGTTTCTATCTTCTTGAGATAAATACATAGATCATTAGTTTCAGACTTTTTTATGTTGCCATATGAATTTTAAGGGAATACATTTACCCTACTAGCTTTATCTGCATCCTACAAGTTTGACAGTCATATTTTTACTACCATTTAGTTAAAAATATTTTCTAATTTTGGCTGTGATTTCTTCTTTGACCCACGTGTCCTTCAAAAAAAATTCAAATATTTGGTAATTTTTTTTAATTTTTTAAGTTTAGTTTTCATTTTTTGTTACTATTGATTTCTAGCTTAATTCTGCTTCAGACAGTGAATAGCCTATACATAGTTTCAAGTAGATAAAATTTGTTAAGATTTGCTTTTCAGCATAGCATATGGATTAACTTTGGTAAATGTTTCTGTGTACTTGAAAATTATGTGCAGTGTATAGCACATGTATACATGTAGTGTATGCACATGTGTATAGTACATCTTCTCTCGTACTTTTACCTCCATAGTTAATGAGACCTTATACTTAAAATTAGTCTTTTATAAACAGCCTGCACTTGAATATCCATCTTGAGATATTTTCACTTTTTATTGGAATATTGATAATGTAATTTGTGCTTACTGATTTGTGTGGGTTAATATCTACTATTCTACGATTTATTTTTCTTTGTTTTTTGTAATTTTTGTTCTTTTTCTCTTTTTATTGTTTTCTTTAATTTGTGGAACATTCTTTTAAGTCCTTTTTCTCTCTATCAGTGGGCTAAGAATGAATTCTTTCATTTTTCTCTTTATGGTTATCCCACAGTTTACAACACAAATCCTTACGGGTCAGAGTCTTCTAAAAGTTAATAATGTTATCACTTAACAGGAAATTCAAGGATTTTAGAATATTTAATTTACCCTCATCCTATCTTTTTTGCTACTGTTGTTATGAACTTTAACTCTACATCTATGTTAAATAAAACAACCAACTGTTATTGCTTTATACAATCTATATTTACTTAAACCCACTGTATATATTTACGCTTTTTGTTACTTTTTATTCTATTTTGCATTTTCATACTTCTGTCTTAGAGCATGTTCCTTTGCCTGAATAATTCACTTTGGTATTTCCTTTTGGTAGATTTACCTGCAATGGCTAATTGCAATAGATTTGTTTGAAAATATCTTAATTTCACCTAAACTTCTGGAGGATATTCTCATTGTAATTACAATTCTACACTGCTAATTATTTTCTTTTAGCACTTAAAATTGTTACCCCATGATCTTCTAGCTTCTATCAATTAATTCTCACCTGAGTGATCAGCATACTCAACACAACTTTAATCAAAATTCCAAAAGCCTTCTTTTGTAGGAATCAGTAAGCTGAGCCTAAAATTTATGTGAAAATGCAAAGGACCTAGAATAGCTAAACAACTTTGAAAATTACAAAAAAAAAAAACAAAGTTTGAGGACTTAAAAACTGTCTGATTTCAAGACTAACTGGGAAGATTCAGTATTCCAAACAGTTTGGTATTAGCTAAAATATATATATTATTTATATATATATTTATATTTATATATAATATATAATTTATATTTATTATATATTTTAATATATTTAGCTAATAAATATTGTTTATATGTAATTTATATTTATTATATATTATAATATTATTTTATATATTTAGCTAATATATATTATTTATATATAGTTACATATTTTATTGTTATTGGTGATTATATTTATATACATATATATGTAACAGAATAGCGAATTTAGAAGTAGGTCCGCACAAATGTGGTCAGTTGATTTCTGACAAAGATGCCAAGCCAATTAAAGGTGGAAATGAAAGTCATTCAACAAATGGTGTCGGATCAATTAGATACCAATACAAAAGTGAACACCAGATCTTACATAAACAAAATGTACTCTAAATGGATCACAAAACTAAATGTAAAACCTAAAACAAAACCTCTAAAATAATGCATATGAGAAAATGTTTTTTATCCTTGGAGGTTGGCAAAGTTTTCTTAGATAGAACACAAAGAACATGAGCCATAAAGGAAAGAAATAATATATTGAACCTCATTAAGATTTTAAGTTTTGCACTTAAAAATATGTCATTAAGAATGCCAAAAGGCAAGTCACAAAAAAATATTTCCAAAATAGACTGGGTGCAGTGGCTCATACCTGTAATCCCAACATTTTGGGAGGCTGAGGAGGCCAGAGGATCATTACAGCCCAGGAGTTCCAGACCAGCTCAGGCAGCATAGTGCAACCCCATCTCTACAAAAAATTTTAAAAAATTAGCCTGGCATGCTGGCACACACCTGTGGTCTGAGATACTCAGGAGGGTGGAGGGGGCTGAGGTGGGAGGATAGCTTGAGCCTAGGCAGTCAATGCTGCAGTGAGCCATGATTGTGCTACTCTACTCTAGTCTGGGTGACAGAGCAAGACTGTGCACTTGAAAATTATGTGTAGTGTATAGTATGTTTATATGGTACATCTTCTCCAAACAGAGCGAGACTGTTGCACATATGTATCGGCAACATATATATCAAAGGACTTCTATCACAAATATGTAACATTCTTACAAATAAGAAGATTAACAACCCATTAATAAAATGGGCAAAGATTTTAAAAGTCACTTCTAAAATAAAGATATAGTAATTGTCAAAAGGCACTTGAAAATATGTTCAACATCATTAGGCATAAATAATATTCAAATTAAAACCATAATGAAATATGCTACAAGCCTATTAGGAAGACTAAAATTTTAAAAATTAAAAATATCAAGTGTTGATGAGGATGCAGAACAGGTGGATTCTGTTTCGCCATTTAGGGAATACAAAATGGCACTACCACTTTAGAAAACTGACAGTTTCTTAAAAAGTCATACATATACCTACTAAAGAATCCAACCATTCTATTGCTAGGTATTTACCACAGAAAATCAAAAACACAGGTCAACACAAAGGTTTTCACACAAATGTTCATTTTACACAAATGTTCATAGGCAAAAGTTGAAATAGTCCAAATGTCCATCAACAGAGGAATAGATAAACTGTGGTGTAATCATGCAAGGAAACATTACTTAATAAAAAGGAATGAACTATTGATACATGCAACAAAATGAATAAATCTCAAAATTGCTATGCTGAGTAAAAGAAGCCAGGCAAAATACATACTGCATTTCCATCCATATGAAAAATTATAGGATATCCAAACTAATTACAGTAACAGAAAGCAAATCAGTTTTCTGGGGATGGGGTAGAGGATGGTTGGATTACACAGTGGCATAAGGAACTCTGAGGAGTAACAGAAATGTTTGTAATCTTTATTCCGGTGATGCTTTTACATGTATATACATACGTGGAAAATGATCACATTGTACACTTTAAATATGTACAATGTAGCAAACATCAATTATACTGCAATAATATTTTAATTAGCCATCCATCTTATTGTCCATTTGAAGGTAATGTGTCCTTTTTTTTCCTCTGACTGCTTTCAAGTTTTCCCTTCATCTTCGTATGTAGATGTTCAACAATTTTCTGTAAAGTACACACAAAACATCTGCTACAATTCTTTGTATTGATTCTTCTTGAGGTTTACAGATTTCTTCCGTTACTGTGGCTTGATGTCTTTTTTTAAGTTTTGGAAAATTCTAAGACAGTAGTTTTTCAAACACTGTTTTTCCACTGTCTTCTCCCCTCCATCACTCCTCGTCTACTGTGGCTCTAATTACACATACATGAGACCTTTCATCCATGTTCCATATTCTCTTGTACTCTTTTCTACATTGTCCATCTTTTCTCCTCTCTGCATTTCTGATATTTTCTATGAAATTATCTTCCAGTACATTTAACCTTCTTTCCTCTATGTCCAATCTGCTTTAAGCCTAGTCTATTAACTGTTTAATTTCATAAATTACATTTTTCACTGTAGACTTTCTTTTTTAACTTTTATTTTAAGTTCAGGGTACATGCGCAAGATGTGCAGGTTTGTTACATAGGTAAACATGTGCCATGGTGGTTTGCTGCACAGATCATTCCATCAGCTAGATATTAAGCCCAGCGTCCATTAGCTATTCTTCCTGATGCTCTCCCTCCTCCCAGCCCCACCCTCTGACAGGTCCCAGAGTGTGTTGTATCCACCCCATGTGTCCATATGTTCTCATCATTCACCTCTAACTTATAAGTGAGAACAGGTGGTATTTGGTTTTCTGTTCCTGCATTAGTTTGCTGAGGACTAATCCATGAGGATTTGTCCATCTCTATCCATGTCTCTGCAAAGGACATGATCTCATTCATGTCATCCATGTCCAACTCTATCCATGTCCCTGCAAAGGACATGATCTTGTTCCTTTTTATGGCTGCATAGTATTCCATGGTATATATGTGCCACATTTTCTTTATGCAGTCTACTATTGATGCGCATTTAGGTTTTCTGGACTTTCTATTTGATTCTTTTTATAGGTTTGTTTCCCTAATGAAATATTTTATCTTAGATGTCTGGAGGAATTTTATATTCTACAAGATGCATATAAGAAAATACAATCAACTGGATGACTTAAGCAGCAGGTATTTATTGCTCACAGTTATGGAACCTAGGAAGTGTAAGATTAATGTGCCAGCAGATTTAATTCCTTGTGAGGACCCTCCTTCTGGCTTGCACACCTTCTCTCTGTGTCTTCACATGGTCAAGAGAAGCAGCTTCTGCATCTTATAAGAACACCAGTCCCATTCTGGGGCTCTACTCTCATGATCTCATTTAACCTAATTACCCCCCAATGTGATTGGGGCTTGGGGGACAAACAAATGAATTTGGAGGAACACAAACATCTATTCCTTAACAATGCCCTTTGAGTTTAATTTTACTATAGTCAGAGGTTTGTTTCATTGCTATGCACTTAATTCATTCCAAGTGAAAGTGAATCCGAATATATAAAAGTAAGCTAGCTTTCTGATTGCTGATTTTACTATGCTGTTCTCTAAAAAGCTTTTCTTTAACATCTTTTTCTTCTAACAAAAATGACAAACCATTTTGCAAACAAAAATGATTTTCACTATTTCATGTGTCCTGAAATCCTTTGAGTTGCCTCCATTTTATTGGGTGGATAAGCAGACCCATCCACACTTTTTATCCAGTCTTTTGTTGAAGTATACTACAGAAAAAATACAGTCTAACAGTTAGAAGATACAGATTCTTAGTCCCAACTCTGACACTTACTAGCTTTGTGGTCTTCATAAACTCATATAAATTCTATGAATCTCTATCTTAGTGTTTCTCAAATGTGAAAAATTGTATTACTTATTTTTTCCCTTCCGTTTTAACAAAGGTATTTTTGGGGTACATAAGACAAAGAATGTAAAAGTGCTTTGTAAAATCTAACATATCTAAAATAACTATTCAATAAATATTTTGAATAAATACCAGATAATATCCTATGATGTAAAAATGATATAACCTTAGGAAAATTTGGGAATCCAGATCTCAAACACAGATCTCTTACTGCAAAGCCTATAATCTCAGCCATTACATCACACCACATCTCAATGAAGCAATTCTGTGAGATAGGATGTAATACTTTTCCAAATGAACGCCACACAGAATATCTGACAATTGACCCCATACGGAACTATGATGAAAAACCTAAGCAAAGAACTAAAAATACATAGTTTATATTAAATTAACTTTATTGATAAACGATATTTCCTTGCTCTTTTTATCCACCTTCTTTATTATTGCCCTTTTTTCTTGCTCTCTTTAATATTCTAGCCTTGCCCTTCCAATCTGAAAACATGACTCTGGTGCTTTCTTTTCTCCAAATGAAACTCCTTTTCCTGGATATAAATCACATTGCTTTGAACACGATCAGATCCTTTCCTGAAAACATACATTATATGAGAGGAGAGAAGGTAATTGGAGAAGGAAAAAGGTAGAACCTCACTACTGTTCACTATTCTTAAGAGTAAATTCAGGCCAACTCGCTACTGCCAGTCAAGTCATCCCATTTGTAGATGAAGACAGCCTGGAGGAAGTAGACAAGGGTGGAAAGTAGAGGAAATGTTTGCAGATGTAAGAGACAAAGTTTTGCACAGTGATGACTGGTCACAGAGGTTAAAAACCAGATATCCAAAGTCATATTTATTTCTGTGATTCAGAAATCTATCTGCCTCTAGTGATTTAAAACTTGTGGGTTTGAATATGTTACAGGCAGATTGAACTCACTTCTGCTTTTCACAGCCCCCAACAAACCTGACTGAATTTCATCAAAACTACATTCACCCATTTACCTTGATCCTGAGACATGTGAGTTTGTGACGTTTATGGGCTTAGGTGAAACCTGTACACTTTACTTTCTTTTGAAGTTACCTCTTTTCTAACTGGAATAGGATCATATTTTCTGCCATGACCCTGTTCTTTCCAACTTATAGAATGTACAAGTGCCTTGTAAAGTCTAACATATCTAGTTGAATATTATAATACCCTTTTGTTATAAACCACTAACCATAGATACCTTACCTTCTAAATTGATCTAAGTTGAATATTAAGGACAACCATTATGATGTAGAAACTGGCTTTGAGAATAAATACAAAAAGCAAAAGCTTAATTGGATAGTACCAATTTTCCTTGTGGTCCATTTGGTCATCATTTCATTCTGCAGCCCTAGTGAAGTGGTGTGTATGTTGCAGTTACTGTATTTGCTATGACATCATGATGGGTGCATTTTATATTTCACAGACTGCATAATAGCTATTACGCTTTCTAAACAAGTATCTGAAAAGCCCATTCCAGTCAGTTTCTCAGATATAGTACCCCAAAGCAAATTCTTTTTTAAAAAATGGCTCAAAATATGTACACATTTACAGTGTAATGTTTACATCATTTAACATTGTGAACATGAAGAGGAAATCTCCTCATCTGCATTGACTGAGTGTTAAGCATTTCCAAGTTGAGTAAAAGGGTATATTGTGATGAGAGGTTCACAGTTTAGGGAAGTCCTAGACAATCTCCTAACTTTCCTTACTGTAGTTGTCTCTGCTATTGGAAATGAAAGGAAAATTCATCTATGTTGTGTAGTCAGAAGTAGAGATGCTTCCATCTCTGTTTCTGGTTCAAAGTTTCTGTGAAATTCTTAGAAGATCTTCCTGTCTTCTTGGATATAATGCACTGGGGGATGAAAGGAGAGAGGCACGGGGAAGTGGCATACAGGAAAATCCATTTCACCAAACACATAAAAATGATCTGCGTGTGAGCATTCTAAAGGAAATGGAAGCCATATGTTTCTGATTCATTTACATGTAATCCATCAAAATATTATTTTGTAAGGATAGTTAATGTACAAGAAACCTGCCAAGCCTTCTTATAAACATTTTTCCAAAAATCCAGCTGCATTGATGCAGCTGTGTAAGAAGTTATACTGGAAAGATGGAACTTGTTTCAAAGTCTCAAGCACATTTTAAACTCCCCAAGGGGTGCCTGGCATGATAGCAATAGCACAGGCTTTGGAGTTGAATAGACCTGGATTTAAAACCTGGATTATTTCTTTTTTTTTTTTTTTTTTTTTTTTTTTTTTTGAGATGGAGTCTTGCTGTGTCACCCAGGCTGAGTGCAGTGGTGCAATCTCTGCTCACTGCAAGCTCCACCTCCAGAGTAGCTGGGACTACAGGCGCCCACCACCATGCCTGGCTTTTTTGTTTGTTTGTTTGTTTTGTATTTTTTAGTAGAGGCAAGGTTTCACCATGTTAGCCAGGATGGTCTCGATCTCCTGACCTCGTGATCTGCCCACCTCGGCCTCCCAGAGTGTTGGGATTACAGGCATGCGCCACCGTGCCTGGCCAAAACCTGGATTATTTCTCATTAACCTTTTTCATAAAAAAAATATTTCTTGGCCAGGCACTGTGGCTTACACCTGTAATCCCAGCATTTTGGGAGGCTGAGGCAGGCGAATCACGAGGTCAGGAGTTCGAGACCAGCCTGGCCAATATGGTGAAACCCCATCTCTACTAAAAATACGAAAATTAGCCAGGCATGGTGGCGTGCACCTGTAGTCCCAGTTACTCGGGAGGCTGAGGCAGGAGAATCACTTGAACCTGGGAGGCAGAGGTTGCAGTGAGTGGAGATTGCACCACTGACTCCAGCCTGGGCAATAGAGCGAGACTCTGTCTCTAAATAGATAGATAGATAAATAAATAAATAAATAAATATCTCATATATATATATATATATATATATATTTCTCTATATTTATTTGTTTGTTTAGTGTCTAATTTGTGCCAGGCAGAAGATGTGATACTGAATTAGGGATACAGTAGTGGACAAATAGAATAAACTAGATCCCTCTTTTCATTAATCTAGTTACTCAATTTATCTGAGCTTGTATTTTCTTATTCTGAGAAATGGAGATGATAATGCTCATCCTTAAAAGTCTTCACCATTCAGTAAGTAACCCAACTCCTGGCATGAAAAATACACTCAATGAAAGGAGTTATTTTCCATTTTCAACCTTTTTCTATTTGAAGCCACTTTCCCACTTCAATCTGTCTGCACATACACCCTTACAGACGGTCCCTGCTCCTCTAGCACCCACAAAGACCACAATCATTGGAATGCTTCACATTTGTTTGTCTCATTGTCCACTAGGTCAAAGGGCCACTTTCTCTGAAATGCATAGCAATACATGTTAGACTGGAAGAACTAAATAACAATTTGCCTTGGGAATACACGGGGAACGCATATACTTTGGAGTCAGGACAAACTGGACTTAAATTTTCTATTTTCCATTCATAATCTTTTTTATCTTGGTCACATTTCTGAGCTTTGGTTTCTACATCAGTAAAATGGGATTAAAATTACCTAATGTGCAGTGTTGCTGGGACTAATTCAATAGGATAATACATGGAAGGTGTCTAGCCCAATAATGGCAGATCTTATTACTTCCATAGAGAGTAAATCAAAATGTTTTATTTCAAGGGTTTAATGTCCAAAACCATAATATTGCAACCATCTTGGTAGATCATAACCTGTTTAACACTTGAACTGTAGGCAACCTGAAAAACTCATCAACTCCACCCACTGAACACATTTTTTTTTTAATACTTTAAGTATTAGGGTACATGTGAACAACATGCAGGTTGGTTACATATGTATACGTGTGCCATGTTGGTGTGCTGCACCCATTAACTCGTCATTTAACATCAGGTATATCTCCTAATGCTATCCTTCCCCCGTCCCCCCACCCCACAACAGGCCCCGGTGTGTGATGTTCCCCTTCCTGTGTCCACATGTTCTCATTGTTCAGTTCCCACCTATGAGTGAGAACATGCGGTGTTCGGTTTTTTGTCCTTGAGATAGTTTGCTGAGAATGATGGTTTCCAGCTTCATCCATGTCCCTACAAAGGACATGAACTCATCCTTTTTTATGGCTGCATAGTATTCCATGGTGTATATGTGCCACATTTTCTTAATCCAGTCTATCACTGTTGGACATTTGGGTTGGTTCCAAGTCTTTGCTATTGTGAATAGTGCTGCAATAAACATACGTGTGCATGTGTCTTTATAGCAGCATGATTTATAATCCTTTGGGTATATACCCAGTAATGGGATGGCTGGGTCAAATGGTATTTCTAGTTCTAGATCCCTGAGGAATCGCCACACTGACTTCCACAATGGTTGAATTAGTTTACAGTCCCACCAATCAGTGTAAAAGTGTTCCTATTTCTCCACATCCTCTCCAGCACGTATGTATAGCTATTAAGTCTCTTGAAGATGCCCAAGGTTAAATTTTTTTTAGCAAGAATGCAATAATCACTTGACATGTGGTTTGCTATTCTCCATTAATATTTTCATTGCAGACATTACTAATCAATCACAAAAAACTTTTCCACTGAACATATACAGCCTCAAAATTCTTTTCTCAGCATTTGATGCAGCCACTACCAATCATATAGAGCTGGCAAGTAATGTACCCCTATCTGTATACTTGATTTAATACATCAAATAGGTTGCATGATCCACTCTTTTGAAATATCAAGTCTATTTAACAGACATTTATTTAGCACTTACTGTGTGTCTGGTCATGGAGTTATAGAGACAAGTAAACTATCACTCTATCAGATGTACTACAAGTCCAAATGAATAATTGCTAAATAGGGATATGAATTACAACAGAGAAGTGTTGTTGAATTAAAAGAAAGGAGGATTTGTTTTTGTCCTACTTGTTAGCTCCTCTATTCGAAGTGACAAGAATACAACTAGCAAATTGTAAAGCTCAAAAACTATTAATTGAATGAGTGAGAATGTATGTGGTTAGCACCTACTTTGTGCCTCCTGTATCTACTCTGTTCATTTGATATGGTTTTCCTTTCAAGAATGATGCACAGTAGGTGGAAAAGTTGGGGGGTATCAAAAGGAGGATCAGCACAAATGCTGATAAGACCTTATCAAAGGATAAGACCATTTCTGCCAGAGAGAAGAAGGAAGAGATTCATGCTTAGGCAGAAGAAGTGACCTAAGCAAATACAAAGTATGAAAGTTCACAGCCTAACAGTGCTTTATATTTTTGCAGATTTGGAATATATGTCTAGCCAGATCACCTCCTAAGCTTGGACAACCAGATAAGAAACAATGCCTGTGGCCAAGTGGAACAGAGTTACGTCAAAGAAAGTGATGAAAGATGCCAAGGAGAGAAGCTGTTCTTCGTTGTTTTTGGACTTTACTAATGCTATTTTTCCCGGCAGTCACCGCTGCTTGCCTGATCATTAGCACCCAAACATCTTGTTTGTTTCTACCAGACGGAAGTAATATACAATTATGCAAATTATCTTAACTCCAAGTAAGGAATCACAGGCCAGTCAATAATGTTGATGTATTATGAAAGGGCAGCTCCTCCTGGAAGAAATAACATGAAGAGCTGATCATAAGCAAACATTTTGAAGCCTGCAGAGGACTGGTCCCTGCAGCGCAATCTATTATCATATTTCCACATAATTAGTTTGTTTTCCACTTGAAATCAAAAAACGATTCGACATTGCCTTCCCTGCCTCAGGATGGAAGAGCTTCCAGTGGAATTCTCCTGCGAAGGTTCATATGGTGAATAATTAGTGAGAATTAATCTGTGGAAATTAAAGTTTGGAATATTGTAGAACTCATGAATAGTGCATGGGGCAATTGGGTGGAGGAAGAGAAGAGCAGCACTTCATGGTAGACAATCACAGATGACTGCTGGCAATCCGTTTTTTAATCAGTGCTGTGCGAGCCAGGGGGTTGGATATGGCTACAGTCTGTGGAGAAATACTGTCAAATTTTTACAGGCAGGACAAGGAAACATTTCCAGAGATGCCTATCTCTAAGCTCATTTTGGTAGTTTTTACTTGGAAGAGATGCCCTGGAATCAGAGGGATTTTCTCCAACTGATGCTGATGGCATTAACTACTTTCATCCTTGCAACTGCACGGATTTTATTACCTTTGTCTTTGATTTTCTTGTCCCCATTTTACTGATGAGAAAACTGGAGTCACCAGCTTCTAAGTGATCCTTCTGACGCACTGAGATCAGAAGGCAAGTCTTCCTGATTACAAAAGCCAATAGCTAAAGCGTAAAATTCTAGCATGAGCTGGAATCAGAGTGGTGGAGTTTCAAATTTTTAATCCATCTAAGTATCAGTTTCCTCAACTGAAAAGTGATGACATTACATATTTTATAAAGTTTTATGAGGGCTACATGAAATAGTACAAACAAAGCCTTCACATAGGATCTGCACATAATAAAGACACACTATATTTACATGAAAAAATTAATATAAATCCATTCTCCCAGATTACTCTGACACTCAAATATATAAGCGTCTTATTATGCTTTGGAAATAATTCCCTCAAATGATTTCAGGATCAAGTTATAACTTCCTTTCTCCTACATCCCTATGGTGGCAGTTTTCCCAAGCATCTGTTTACCTAAAAATAAATTTAAATGGAAAATTTGCAAGTGATCAGGGTTAATGTCTCCAATTATTAAGTGACTGGAAAAATGGTACAGCAGGAACACACAGCAGGGGAGCATTTTTTAGATGTAGAACGCAAAGAATTTTTTGTAGATTATAGAATGGTTTTATTTTCCAAGGCTGTAGCTCACTTGAGCAATAGTTGCCTGTGATTACTAGAACAATATGGTCACCAGAGCTCAAAATACAGTAAGAATAAAAGAAACAGAGCACATGTCCAAAGAAACAAACAGTTTATTTTTCCCCAATTATAAATGTAAAACTTGATATAGAAGAAAAGTACGTGAAAGTAAAAGAAAAAGCTCACCATAACCTTAAAGATCTTTCCCGTTAAAGTTTTTGACATTTTGTGTGTTTTCTGCCAATTTTTTTTTTCTGGGCATAATTTTCCATAATTGTTGTCATACTGCATCTGCAATTTAAATTTTCCCTTTCACTTAAAATAGTAAGATAAGCATTTTTACAAAGGTTCTAATAACATGAGCATTTTTTAAAAATAAGGCACAATCAATATAAAGAATGATAGTTGCTCTTAAAACAAGGAATTGTTTTCAGATTCAAGGATCACCTTTTGTTTCTTTCTCAGAGAGAGTGGTTTCCAATCCAAATGCACATTTGCCTCTCAGGCATCTGTTGGATTTGGAAGAGGTTCCCAGATTGAGTTGAGAAATGGTCATTACAGTTAAGCTGCAACTTCAATCTTCAAAATGAATGAATGGATCCAGTCCAGTCCTTTGGCTGGGACCCAGTCTTTAAAATCCAGCAGAACAATGAATATGTGGCTTCACAGCCAGCTGGTATCAGACTTGGGCAGGGAGAGTGTCAAAATATTAGTGACTTTTTTACATTTGTCAAAGCTGAGGCCAATACAAGAAATGCAGACAGCTTGCAAATGTGGGTTGTGCACCAAAGGGTTTTTGTGTGTGTGTTTTTTTCAATCCTGCCCACCGGATGTCAACATTTCCTTGCTTTCTGATTATTTCTGCAGCAAAGACAGAGTGAAATATCTTTTACTTTGAATATGAAAACTGCTATAGATTTATCATCAACACATCAACCACTAATTTATTATACTGGGGCAATGTACTCAACTGGAATAAAGGGGCCATCAGCATTTCCATGGCAATTCTTCCTTTTCTTTCCTTGGTTTATAACTCATCTGCTTACTCAGTTGTTCCTGAACCTGGCAGGCAAGGTCTCAGTGGGAGAATAAATATATTTATACAAAATGTTTAAGAAAGGCTGCCCACATTGAGTTAGAAAAATAAGCATATGCTAGTGCTGTCTGGCACTCTCTTTGCAATTCCTGTATCTTTCCAAAAGGAAAAAAAAAATCTACAACAGAACATTTTATTTTATTTTTAAAAGAAACATTGTTGGCAGCCAACGTGCAATATGGGCTTGATGGGATTTTTTTTCTCCTCTTTATCTTTTCCTTTGCCTTTTTCAAAAAAACTATATGGAACAACAAGCTAATTGCTTCCAGAGTAAAATAAATCAATTATTAACAGGCAAATGTAGCTGAGTTATCTCTTTGCCCATCTCTTTTCCATATTCCTTGGATGAAAGTAGATGATTTCATGCACATGACAATTCAGGGTTGTATGCACCTGGTGAGAGAAAGAGTATGGGGCACCCCTGTGTCTGGTATCTAGGATTCATTTAAACAATGTTTCATCCCTTCCCCATTTTTGCTGCATCAAATAAATGAAGAAGTCAGAGCCTATAGAGCTACTAACAATGACAACAAAAAAATGCATAATATTTCCACAATATTTATAGCTTATGAGGTGCTTGCATAGTCATTAGGTCATTCAAGAATCACCGTATCCTAGTGAGCTAGTTATTATTATAATTATTCTCATTTTGCTGATGAGAAAACTGAAGGTCTGAAAAGTTAAGTAATTTTTCCAAAGATACAGCATTTTGAATGACTGACCAGACACAAGAAAAGCAATGATGGTGTTGATATTTGATAATATTGAACTTTACCTGAGCCCTGTGCTCCTGGAAAACAGCAAAAGTTAAGACATTCCCTTATCCTAATATGTACCCCAAGAATAGCTTACTGCAAAGAACTACTCTTCTGCACATAACTTAAAAAAGACCTGTGAATGACTCCTTTTTTGCCTTTGACAAGGCTGGACACAGATCCTCCAAATTCCCACCCTTTGCCTCATAAATGATTAGCTTAACTGTTTCTTTCCACTCACCAACCTGGACAAAATGCCTACCAATTTGATTTGCTTAAACTATACTCAAGTGTCTCACCTCTCCCCAGGTCTCTTATCTTTGATCCTCTGCTGAGCAATGGAACTTGGAGCAACCTCTCCTTACTGTCCCCTCCTGAAAATCAGCTGAAATGGGGAGACAGGGGAAGGGATATCAACTGTCTCATCATGCCACTCACTTACCCACTTTCCACGCCCCATACCTGTTCTTTCTAGCCTTGTTTATTCCTTGCCATAAAGAACAAAAAAAGCTGTCCTCTGCCTGACATTTGAGATGGAGATCTTAGGGTCATTAATCTATTGCAATTGTCTACCTTTTCTATTGCAATATTTTAAAAATAAAATCTCCATTTACTTAAGTCCAGATTTGTTTTTATTTGATATGTTAGCAATAATGATTGTTAACATATGTGTAGTCCTCAGAATTAATAAGCATTTTGAAAAGAATCATAACCTCTATTTGTATAGTGCTAAATGCTTCCCCATTAATTATAATTTCAAAATGACTCTTTATCATCCAGAGGACAATTAATACCCCTTTCTAAAAATAAAGTCACTGATGATGAGAAATAAAGTGACTTATCCAAAGTCACAGAGTCTAGGGAATTGAAGTAAAATGGACAATTCTGACCAAGGACATAAGCCTTCTTCTTCCTGGTTTACTATTCTTTCACTCACCACATGAACATAAGCCAGGCCAGGTTTATACTCACTTGAAAAAGGTCAGTCTTTTGTAGATTGACAATACAGACAATGAAGCTTACTCTGTGGGCTCTTTGCTTACACAGGCCCCTTTCAAAACCTAAATTTTGATTAACACAGTAATTTTTTTCTTAGTCACCCATCAACTGTATAATCTTCAAGTGCCACAAAACCTGGATCTACTCCTGAGAATAATGCCAATATGTTGTGTTTTTAGAAGCATACTCACATGGCTCTACTCACAAAAATCACTTTTTCCAGATAGTGCAATGCCAAAATTTTCACAAAGACAGTTTTTTATTGACTGTTTCTCAACATTTGTTCTGTGTCATGCTAAATTTATTAGATATTAGCAGATGATCCACAAAAAGAGAATTGGCAGTCAAACCAAAGAGTATCAATAAGCAAAGGCTTTTTAAAAATCTGTAGGACTCCTTGGTTCTTTTAATATGTTAACCAGTATAGTGATTCTCAAGAATTATTTTTAAAGAGACCATCTTCTTGTACTAACCTTCCCAAAAGCAAACTTAAGAAATGCTGGATTAAGGAATTGAGTCTCTAAGGAACCTCTGTTTAAAAGGAAATACACAATATAGAGCCATAAAATAAGCTAATAAAAGCCTTTTTAACTTTAGGGTAAGTCAATCTATCAGGCAAATTCTAGGTTCTTAGCAAGAATCTAATGCAAAAGAAGAGCAGAGAAAGATCCATTTTGATAAGTAGCCAATAAGGAGTTTGGACCCAGATGATGCCTTCATGAGCAGGCCAGGTAAAGCCCCCAGTGTGTGGAAGCATTTTGTCTAGAATAAAAAACAAGCCCAAGAAGACACAGGGCACTTGAAAAATAGAAGCCCTCCAAAAAAAAAAGAGGTGACAGTTCAGCAGGCATGGATTTTTCCCACTTGAAGGGCACCAACTAGTACATAAGCAAAATTTTTTAGAGAAAATACAGTTTTTTTCAACTTCTATTTTCGAATCGGAGGGTGCATGTGTAGATTTGTTATAAAGGTATACTGAGTGATGTTGAGGTTTGGAGTACAAATGAATCCATCACCCAGGTAATAAAATGTGTCATTTTTCAACCCTTGCCCTCCTCCCTCTCTCCCCTCTCTAATTGTCCGCAGTGTCTGCTGTTCCCATCTGTATGTCCACGTGTACCATCGTTTTGCTCCCACTTATTAGGGAGAACAAAGGGTATTTGGTTTTCTGTTTCTGCGTTAGTTCACTCAGAGTAATGGCCTCCAGCTGCATCCATGTTGCTGCAAAAGCCACGATTTTGTTCTTCTTTATGTCTGCATAGTATTCCATGATATACATGTACCACATTTTCTTTATCCAATCCACAGTTGATGGGAAACTGAGTTGATTCCATGGCTTTGCTATTGTGTTGTTTTAAAAATTATCATTTGCTTCTTTATAAAGCAGCTGTAGTTTGGGAAAAGAGCACCTGATATAAAGTCCAACAGGTAGGATTTTTAATACCAGCTCTTCTACTTCTAGATGTATGAAATGGAACAAGGCTCTTTATCTTCATTAGCCTCAATTTCTCCATTTGATTGAAGAGACAATAGTATTTAACTCAACAGATGTTTTTAATTCAGTGGGATGCTTCCTGAGAAAGAGCAAAGTTCAGAAACTAACATATGATAGAGCACTAAAAATATATGTGTTGGGTCTGAACTACAACTCTGGGAGGTAGATATTTTATTACTTCCATTCCATAGAAGAGGAAAGAGAGGCTCAGAAAAGTAATGTTGAATTCTTTGTTCGACATTTTTCAGCTAGAAAGCAGAAGAGAAGAGGCTCAAATCCTGACTACTGATTTTGAATCTTCTCTTCTTTCCACATGCCATGTGCTTCTTTTTGTAAGTTTGCCTTGGGTCACTCCTAAAGAAAGAATCATGAAATAACTAAAAGGTGCCTGAAGATGTGGTTTGGATCCCTTCAGAGAAAGGATCAAAACTGGTCATTCAGCAGGTGAGAAGCCTACAAGGTAAAGCCCCCACTCCTAACACCTTAGCGGCAGACACCCCGTAGTCTGGCTACTACCTGCTTCTCTATGTGCTTACCTACCACTTCATCATCTTGTTATTTGAGCTCCAATCATACTACACTTGTGCTTCCCAGAATATACCTGCTCTTTTGCATTCCACTTGGCTTGTTCATGCTGCCTAAACCTGACTTTCTTCTCCCTACCATTTCTCACCAAGGTAATTATTACTTTTCTGTCATGACTCAGTTTAGCTGATGCCTCCTGCAAGCTTCCTCTGACATTCCTAGACCAGGTTTAAGGAACTCCCTCTTTGTTGACATAGCAACCTGCCCAAACCTCTACTATGGTACTGAACACACTGAAGTACAGGTTTTGGTTTGTATGTCTCCCCATCTACATAGCTGTTTCTTATGGAAATGTTGCTGCAAGAAACAGAAGCCTATCGAATTCTCTTAAGACCTCACTGAAATCTAAAAGCAAAAATGAACAATCAGGTCTCAAGAAGGTCAAAAATAAAGCCTTCCCAGAGACCTGAGCAACACAGATGGACATCTGTGTTCTACCATTTACACAACTCAGGGGCCAACTCCCTTACCCTTTATTCCTTTAATTCGAACTTCTGAGAAATATAAACTAACTGCACTGGGCCAGATGTCTAACTATGAACCAACAGCTGTGTCCAGAAGAGGGGATAGACTATTATGAACATGGACATCTGACCCATGCCCTTATTAAGAATGTGGGGCATTTCTGTGAAGTAGTGTGCAGGCGGAACAGGGCCTCTGATCATGTAACCTAGAATTGGAGAACTGAAGAATAGGGACAATCTCTTAGCCATCTCTATATTCCCATTGGCTAGCACAGTGAGAGAACATCATAGGCACCCTGAAAATATAAATAATGGGAGTGATGACTTTTATCATTTAGAGAGCCAGCAGCACTCCATGAGTCCAGCTCCCTTCTCTCCAAATAGATGAGACCTTGAGTTAGGAGAGATTAATTTCATTTGGCCATCAGGCAGGAGTGCTCACTTGGCAATTTTTAAATGCAAATCCAATTGTGGATTGCTCACAAAGTAATTCTGCTTATTTTCTCCTTTTTTTTTTTGAAAGAATTGACTAGGATGCAAATGCAATTACAAGGGATAATGACCGCCACCAGTTATATTAAAACGTCAGATATAAAGTACAAGTAATTACCTGCCCTTCAAGAAAATCTTGATGTATGGACCCCCAAAGTCATTATACAGTCCATTCATCAACATTTATTCAATACCCACCATGTATACAATATTGTACTAAATGCATAGGAAGCTTGCAAAGGAAAGTGAAAACCAGCTTCTCCTCTTAGAAAGTATAGAAAGTTCTGCTCTGGAATAGGTTGTTTGTGACCAGGGAACAGATTATAGTTAACCAATTCACACTGTAGTCACATAGTATACTTTGGTAAATGTTTGAAAGGGTAGGGAGATTTAGCTTGAAGAATAAAACATTAAAGAGAAAAGCAGTATTCATTCAACAAATACTTATTAAGCAAGAATTATGCACCACTCATTGTTCTAGGTACTTGGTGTATTCCTGTGGCCCTTGTATTCTTTTGCAGAAAGGCAGATAATAAACAATCAAATAAACATGATAATTTCATAATAATATTTATAGTGATAAGAGCTACATGGAAACTCGAAGAAGATGCTGCAATAAAACCAACATATTGCTTTAAAGTATAAGTCCTCACTTAACATTGTTGATAGGTTCTTGGAAACTGCAATGTTAAGTGAAATGATGTACTGTATGCCATAGGAATCTAACTCTTTGTAAAACTGGTTTTGTTATACAGTACATTGTCTCACTTAAAATCACAGTTTCCAAGAACACTACTGACGATGTTAAGCGAGGATTTACTGTAGCTGCTTTAGATAGGGTAGTCAGCGATGGATGCTCCGAGCTGACTCCCGCATAAGGAGGAACCAGCCATGAAGAAGTTTCTAGGCTCAACAGCAAGTGCAAAGTCCCCAGTAAGTGAATGAGCTTAGTTTTCAAGGATCAGAAAAAAGACACATGCAGCTAGGATGAATTACTGAGTAGAAAAGTGATAAAGATGGATTCACAAAATTAGGCAATCATCAGCCCGTGTAGTTTGCAGAACACAGTAAGAAGTTTGTATTGTTTCTTAAATGTAATGAAACATCATTGAAGGGCTTTAAGTAACAAAATGACTTGACATAATTTTAGGAAGATCACTATGACTATCTTGGGGAGAATAGATTGTGGATTGTAAGGATTCAAAAATCCAAGCAAGGACAAGATCTGGATGTCTCATAATAGTCCAGGAGAGACATAATGGTGTCTTGACCTAGGGTGGTGATGGGGAGAGGTTGACAGAATCAGGATATATTTCAGACTTACATGTGGATAGGATATGATGGGAGGAGAAAAAAATCATGGAAACATTTTAGAATATGAACTTAAATAACTGAATAGGGAGTGGCGCCATCAATGACAATGGAGATGATTTTGGTGGGGGAATCAAAAATTTGTGTTGAGGCAGGAAAAGTTTGAGATGCCAAGTGGAAACGCCAAGTGACAGCTCAGATAAAAGCCAAGGTCAAGTTATTGACATGTAGATGTATGTAAAGCCACGAAAATGATAATTATCTTCAAATGCTTGCTGCAAAAGGAATTAGATATATTTGTAGTTGCTTGTGGCAATGATACCCAGACATTGGTTGCTTGATAAAGCATTTTGAAATTTTAGATGTCCTGGTTTCATTCCAAGCTTTTATGACTCAGTAGATTTGGGATTTTTATTCATGGTTCAGTAAGTGGTGTGTGTGTGTGTGTGTGTGAGAGAGAGAGAGAGACAGTGAGAGAGAGAGACAGTGAGAGAGAGAGACAGTGAGAGAGAGAGAGAGAGAGAATCACTGTTTTACAGGGAAGATTCAGGATAAGTGAATAAAGTTAATATCCTCTGACCCTTTGGTGAGAATTGCAGGAGCAATTTTAGAATCCCTGCATTAATAGCAGAGAGCTTGAACTAAAATACACTTTGGATACCATTTCTTTGTCTTGGTTCTCCAGCTTAAAACACTATTTTGGCAATTACTCTGCAACTTATTCTATAGCATGCATGGCCACCCCCAGATACTCTGTATCCCTTTTGTACACCTTTTCCATAGGTAACATGATAGATTTATGCAAGAGTCCTAATGCGGAGTTAGCAAACTCTGTCGAAAGGATCAGAGAGTAAATATTTTAGGCTTTATGGGATATATGGTCTTGTCACAACTATTCAACTGTGCTCTCGTAGTGGAGAAAAAAGGCAATAAGTAAATGAATGAGCATGGCTATGTTCCAATAAAACTTTATTTAAAAGATCAGGCATGGACAAAGATTTGACCTGTAGGCCATAGTTGCCAACCCCAGATCTAATGTATGGTGCTGGGTATGAGAAAAGTGCCTAGCGGTAGCCCTTATGTACAGATGATCTCTAAAGCCTGGATTTAGTTGGAGCACTTTGCCAATGTTCTTGAACAAGTACTATATTTTATATGATTTTGACAACACAAAATAAGAAAGCAGGATTAGATAGGCAAGTTCAAATTGAGGATAAAAGCTGATATTGCTCTTTCTGCATATTATGAGCTGTGGATTAGCACTGTATTAGAAAAAAGTTTGAAACTGGGAGGTGATGTACTACTTAGACATGCTGCTCCTTAGTTATGTGGCTCAGGCAAGCTACTTATCTTTTTTAAGTCCAAGTATTTTTTTTCCATTAAGTCTACATAATAATATAACATATCTTACTGGCTTCTTGTGATGATAAATGATACAATAAGTGAAAGACACAACATAGTCCCTAACAGAGCAAATACTCTAAAGTCATAATTAGATGCAGATACAATTGTACACTTAAATATGGAAGGACATAATTATTGGTATATGAAGGGACATAGGAATAAATATAGACATGGATGAATGGTGAAATCATAAGCTAGCTCCTGGTCACTGCAAGTGTTCAAGTGGAGACTGAAGAGTCATTATTTACAAAAGAACAAGTTGTACCAGGAAATGCTCTGAGTTTCTAATTTTAAATTTGCAACGTAATGACAGAGTCAGGATGCTTACCCACTGTTGGATACTTTCAATTAAGTTTTCATGTCAGGGCTAGGTTGGATATTTTGCATCATATGGAGGCAACACTCTGCAGGAAGAAGCATGGACTTCAGCATCAAACACACATGAGCTTGAACTTTCAGCTCTACTATTCTACTATCTGTTGGCATTAAGCCTGTTGATTCACCTATTTTAATTATTCAAACGGGGTCAATATCCCTAAAAGGACTAAATTAGGTAATAAAGTAACTGGCACATAGTAGATAATGACACTTTCCTTCCCAGCATTTTTTTTTTTTATTCTGAATACCCCCTGTACACTCTAAATAAGGTTCTCACCTTAGGTTTTCCTCTTCATCCTTCCATTTTCTTCATCAGGAGCAAAATTAAGTTTCTATCAAGTGCTCACTGACATTACCCTGGCATCTGAACTATCCAATGTGACATACACAAAACTTTAATGTGTAGACATGCTAATCAGAAGGGAAATGTCAAATCTGCATACATTTCAAATGACCCAACAATATTTACCTTAGAGCTACGTCTCCTATTTTTCTGACAATTGCCTCATTGAGGAAGTGACTCATGCAGCATACCAAGCCCCATTCCATCTGAGAACTTTACCTCCGACTGGTTTGAAAGCATCAAAAAGATGAATGTCACTGCCTTGCAGTTAGTAAGGAGGCTAATTTGATTTGACAAATGATGCTGATTTTGAAGGGGTCACTAATCATTAGAACTACCGAGGACAAAGAGTGCCTTGAAGCTGGATAAAAATTGAATATTTAAACAGTTTGTTATGCAAATTTACTTTCTACCTGTCAGGAGTGTGTAAAGCACAGGGTTAGAGAGTTTGTGGTAAGGCCATCCCTAGGCTGATGACTTCTCTGCACAGTCTGTCCTCACCACCCAGAGGTCTAGTGGCCCAAAGCCCTTGGATCTGCAACTCCTGCTCACCCAGGTGGAGGGTGAGGTGAGCACAGCTCCACAAGGAGTTCAGAGCCTCCACTTCTCAATCTCTCACTATCCCTTCTCCATGGCCATCAAAAAAATGAAGAGTGAGCTGAGTTAAAATCCAGTTCACCCGAAATGCCAACTTCCAGATTAGCAAATAACCCCTCATGGCCCCAAAAGAGAGAAATCCGGAGCTTTATGAAGGCTACACTGACATTCTCAAGGAACCTCAGCATTTTGAAGCAACAGGGCCTCCTTCTTGTCTCTAGTATCTACAGAAAAGCCTTTGTCTCCATAGCTACTCATTCTCCATTTTAATTAGAGGCTTTATTTTGTTTTGTTTGTTTTGTTTTGAAGTTTTATTATAAGTTCAGGGGTACATGTGCAGGTTTGTTTTATAGGTAAACTTGCATCATGGGGGTTTGTTGTACAGATTATTTCATTACCGAGATATTAAGCCTAGTACTCATTAGTTATTTTTCCTTATCCTCTTCCTCCTCCCACCCTCCATCCTCAGGTAGGCCTCAGTGTGTGTCGTTTCCCTCTATATGTCCATGTGTTCTCATCATTTAGCTCCTACTTATAATTGAGAACATGTGGTATTTGGTTTTCTGTTTTGCATTAGTTTGCTGAAGATAATGGCCTCCAGCTCCATTCATGTCTCTGCAAAGGACATGAACTCATTTTTTTTTAATGGCTGCATAGTGTTCCATTAACATCCTCATTCCAACTGATCATTAGAGAAATTCAAATCAAAACCAAAATGAGACACCATCTCACATCAGTCAGAATGGCTATTATTAAAAAGTCAAAAAATAACTGATGCTGGTAAGGTTGTGGAGAAAGAGGAATGTTTATACACTGTTGGTAGGAGTGTAAATTACTTTAAGCATTTTAGAAGACAGTGTGGTAATTCCTCAAAGACCTAAAAACAGAAATGCCATTTGACCCAGCAATCCCATTACTGGGTATATACCCAAAGGAATACAAATTATTCTATTACAAAGACTCATGAATGCGTATATTCATTGCAACACTATTCACAATAGCAAAAGCAGGGAATCAACCTACATGCCCATCAGTGATAGACTGGATAAAGAAAATGTGGTTTCTTTTGTTTTTAATCAAAAGTATCCTCAAGGATATTTGCTTCCTCACATATGCCCCACACAGTGACTGCCCCTTTGTACTCACTCACTGAGAAAGTCCTTTGTCTTTTTTGGTCACACTGCAGCCCTCTGTCCACTCTGTACTCTGTGTGACGTGAGGGCAACATTCAGCCCCTTTTCATTTAGGTTTTCTCAAACATTGCCATGAAAATGAAAGGTTTGACCCCAAAGCCCAAACTTAGGTTTCCTGACATTGGGCAATATTCCTGTAACATTGCCTTGAGCATTTCCATATCTGTAGTAGGGCAGAGGTAACACATGTTAATCTCACTTCCCATATTGTGTTTCCTACACTCAATTTATGATCATTGAACTGGTTGTGGAGGGCCTTCTGAGCCATTGTGAGAAATGGAGCACTACCCTGAGTGAGATAGGAAGCCAAGGGAGAGTTCTGAGCAGTTTCTTATTTTAAAGCTTGTGGACAACACTATTTCTTCAGAGGGCCATTGTGAAATAATGTATGTAAAACACATAGCACAAGGCCTGTTACATAATTAGTACACAATAACTGTGCGCTGCTGCCTTTATGAACATTAAATTCATAGCCGCTTTACCTTGGCCTTTTTATTTTATTTTACTTTTTCTTTTGGTGTAAGGGAGGGTACATTATAAATTGAACAAATGTCCTTGCTCTTGTAAGACTGATATATATTTCTGAATAGTCTGACAAAAATCTAACAGTTCTAGACTACACATGCTTTTAGCAACTGAACCAAAGCCAGATTCTTGTTTTTAATATCTTCACTCTGGGAGCTAAAAGAACATCTTGTGACTAAAGGGAAGTTAAAGCCCAGTATGATTGGCCTTTGCCCGTTAATTCAATTAATAAATGTATATGGAACACACCTATAAGGTACAATGGCTTTGAAACCAAAAGTCCTGTTCAAACGTCAGCACTGCTTTTTATGTTATTGTGTCTGCGAACTTGTCACTAGATTTCTCCAAGTCTGTTTCCTCACCTTCAAAATGGGAACACTTTAAAAGAGGCTTCGTTGTAGGAATTTAAAAGACAAAAGAATATAGTATCTCTCAGTGGGCAAGATCAAAGATCATAGAATAATAATAATTTTTAAAGTGTGCCCATCATGTAGGTATCTCTAAATGAACAAATAAAATAATTTGAATCAAAGTTATGCTACCCTAAAAATTTTAATTTTGACAATTCAACATCTATTAGTATAATAACCCTGCTAATCCTTGCAGAGGATATAAACTTAAATAATGTCTGGCTTAGCTAGGGCATTTCAGGGCATGGTCGCAGCTCAGCAAAGCATGCTGTGTAATACATCAAGAGGTAACTCTAGGTTACGACCTCAGGTCTCATGGAGCTGGTATCTAAACCAATCCATCCCACAAGCCCATATTTTACTATTGCTAATCCTTACAACTATTATATAAAGTAATATCATTATCTCTATTTTACACGTGAGAAAACTGAGGTATACTAAGGTGAACTCATTTTTCCCATGTTTTCCAGTTGGAAAGTGGTAGGGCTAAGTGCTCATTTCATTTAATTTCAACAAGGATTTGTACAGTACCTACTCTGATACTGTCCTAGATGCTCTAGTTATAACAGTGAAGGAAAAATCACCAAGCTTTTGTCGAAGATTTCAGCCCAGATCTGACCTACTCCAAAAGCTGAATCTTTCCACCAAGCCCACTGCTTCATTGCATTGGTGCTATATGGAGAGATAAACCTGACCCCAATTCAGTAAGTTACGATGTTCCCATTATGCCATTTTTATTCCCTTTATGATTTAATCAGAACACTTGCTTAAATTAAAATATAGCTTAGTCATGCATCTGATCTTCTTTCCCCTAACATTTTTTTCATGGAGCTGTCAGTTTTGCAAACTGGCTTGATTTACAGATATTTTATCCAGAAATAAATTGAATTAACAATTTAAAATGCAGAACAGAAAAGGCTGCCAGTGTGCTAATAGCTCCATTTCCCTGATTAAGAAGGCTTTCTCTAAGATGGTATGAAGGACAGAGCCCTCTTTGGCCTAAAACTCATTTTGACAACGGTCTTGGAATAAATAGATTCTAGAAGAACACTGCCTTGTCTCAGGAACAGACATCCACCCCAGATCCTGTGGCCAAACTAACCTTCAAAAATATTACCTTGTACGTTTACTTTGGTCATAAGCTTTTGGGGTTTTCTACACTTACAGAGAGAAAAGAAAAAAACCCTAAGATTGCCATTCAAAGTCACCAATTTTTCTCTAACTTCTTTAGTCTTATTCCCTCCCTCCTCCTGCCACCTCCCTGAGTCCTCAGGAGCAGCAGATTGGAGTTTGATGCCCCACTCTGTTACAGATTAGAGGCGCTACCTTAGCCAAGTCACTTTACCTCTCAGAGTTTCAGTTCCATCTTTATTCTTTAAAAGGAGACAGTAAAATTTGTTCTCTGCTCCTCTTAGATCTGAGGAGAGGCTCCAATGAGGCAAAAGGTTTTGTAAATTGTACAATGGATAAGCCACCTTACAGGATCTGCACCACCCATAATTATCTATGCTTTTTTCCATACACATTTCTCTTCCAAGGCATTTCTCCCTTTCTGCAACGCACATGCTCCCTCTTCCCCCATCTATACAAATAAGAGCTTGTCTTTCTTCAGGGCCCAGCTTGAGCCTGACCTCCTAAAAGAAGTCAGTTGTCCTAACTGTCCTAGCCCTCAAGAATCTCCTCCCCCAGTGACTTGTCATGGTTTCTCTCATTTGGCACTTGGCCTTGGCTGCCTTTATGTCCTCATTCCTTAGTATCTCAACAGTTAGCTTGTAAACCCCTATAAGTGAGTCTCTTAGTACATTTTGGGCTGCTATGACAGAGTACTCAAATCTGGGTAATTGATAAAGAGCAGATTTTTATTTCCCTATAGTTCTAGAGTTTGGGAAGCCCAGGATGAAAGTGCCAGCATCTGGGCAGGGCCTTGTTGCTGTTTCCTCATATATTGGAAAGCTGAAGGGCAAGAGAGTGTGTGCCCACTCCCACAAGCCCTTTTTATAGCAGCGTTAATCCATTCTTGAGGGCTCGACCTAAACACCTCCCCAAACACTTCCCAACACTGTTTCACTGGGGATTAAGTTTCCAATACAGGAATTTTAGGGGGCACATTCAGACCACAACAAGGAGAGATTTCATTTTACACTAATTTATATTAATATATAACACTAAGATTCACATTCAGCTAGCACTTACTGAATGCCCACTGTGTGCCTACTCTGTGTCAAGGGCAATTATAGATGCATTCTCATTTGCTGTCTCCTGTACCTCTCATAAGAAACTCATTACTAATTCTTCACATTTTACACAAATAGAGACAGAGGTTCAGAGGAGTTAACTCTTCATTGTTCAGTATCTCACAGGTAGTAAGTGGCAGGACTGAAAACTTATTTCAGGACAGATTTCAAAGCCCATGTTCTTTCCACCAAATTATGCCATCTTTTTTATTAAGTGTCGACTGATCCTAATTGTATGATGGTAGGTAACTGGGGCATCAAATGGGGTCTCTAGTAGCTCAGAGCACTAACCATCTGGACCTGATTATAATTGACCATACGGATTCATATCTGACTATTCATCCTATAAATATATTTCTCTACGGCTTTTATTTTTTACATAGTTAAGCACATAAAAAGCAAGAAACACAATGTAGAATAAAATGTATAATTCAAACCTTAAATTCCCTTCTTATCATCAGTATAATTTTGGTTACTTTTACATCCTTGTGTCCCAGTTCCCTCAAATGAAAAATGAGAATACCATTACCAACCTTACGGGGTAGTGTGAGGATTAATTGAGATGTATAAACTGAAATATACAGTTGTTATAAAAATTGTGGGAAATGCATAGGAATCATGTCCAGTAATAGCTCCCTAATTCTAACTTTGTGCTTGTGCCAATATCAGGTGAATATTCCTTGTAAAATCTCTGAATAGAAAATATTCTAGGCAATAAGAGGGCACAGAAATTTTTATAGAGACAAAAATGGTAAGAACTACTTATGAAAAACCAAACTCTTAGAAGAAATCTGTAAAGATTTGTAAAAAACTTGTATTCTATTCTGCTTTCTGTTACTAGAAGATTTACAATATAGGTTTATATGTTGTCTAGGAGGCTATAGAGGCCATTCTTCAATAGGTCAAATTTACTTACATATTTAACATTACTAAGTACACATGACTAAGTATGCCATTGGCCGAAAGGGGTGGAAGAGACAGGGGAAGGAGAAGTCACAAAGATAAGTGATATCTTCTCTCTGCCATCAAAATAACTCATATTTTAATGATGTGGCCAGCCACGTAGAGTACTTAGAAAGGAAAGGAGTCCTGTGGACTTGGAGAGGAAGAAACTTTCCACTTATAAACACAACATGGGGCCAGCATCAGGAAGAAATGTTTCCATTACAACACCTGGTTAAATTGCTCTACAATTTCATGTTTATCTGCTTCAATTTTTTAACAATTTATATCAAACTCCCATAGAGATAACTCATAGGAGCAGAGTAAATCCAGTTCCAATAGAAATACAGAGACCAGACTTGTCTACTTGACTTCCGTATTAGTCTGTTAGGGCTGCTATAACAGAATTCCACTGACTGAGTGGCTTAAACAATAGGAATTTATTTTCTCACAGTTCTGAAGCTTGGAAGTCCGAGATCAAGGTGTCGGTGGGGTTGGTTTCTGGGGAGGCCTCTCTCCATGGCTTGTGTGTGATGGCCTTCTCTCTGTCTTCACATCATAGCCTTTCCTCTGTGGGCTCACATGCCTGGTGCCTGGTGCCTCTTTCTCTTCTCATAAGGACACCAGTCCTATTAAATTAGAGTCCCAACCCTGTGACCTCATTTAATGTCAATTACTCCTTAAAGGCCCTAGCTCCAAATACAGTCACATTGGAAGTTTGGGTCTCAACATATGAATTTGGAGGGGACACAGTTCAGTCCAGGAGAGCCTCCTCGTTACCTCTCACATGGTCTGTAAGGTGTTTTTCAGAATCCCTAAGAATCTACTAGGGGAAAAAAAAAAAAAACATGAAAATTGCTAGTCCATATCATTAGTAATAACTTTCTCAAATCATATCAAATCTCATAATGGAATGACCATTGTTTCTCATTGTTTGCATTGTTTCTCATTGTTTGCATTGTTTGCATTTCTTTCTTCTTACTTAATCTAAGTCAGAAATGAAGACAGAGAAGTTAGGTCATATGAAATTGGATCAGTAAGAGATCGTTGGCTTAACAAAATGTACCCACTTTGAAGAACATTTTCTCTGGACTTGGCTGGACTGACTAGGTCCTCACAGCTTTTAGACTCTATGATGTTGAGCTTTTCCACACTGTCTGCAACACCCCAAAAATGTCCAGTGTACATAGAGACAGGTGCAAATGAGCTCATTTCACCTTCCTTTCTAGGAGTTTAGGTCAAACTTCTTTATTGGCTGGAAAGAAACATCTTTTTTGACTTACCCTTAGCATCATCCACTAAAATAAGACATTACAGAAAAAAGATGCTCAGTCTTGGTGAAATGTCCATTTTCAAGTATACATACACCTTCACAAGATCTCTCTCTTTCAGTCTCTCTCCACACCCCCTCCACTGTCTGTCTGTCTCTCTCTCTCTCTCTCTCACACACACACACACACACACACAGCTAGAGTCTAAGGCAATATTCAACACATTTAGGAAAAAAACTGTCTAATAAGGAACTCTCTAAGGAGATTACTTAGCTAGTTTTTACCTACTCTGGCCATGATAATTTTGACTATTCAGTTAGTCTCTAACTATACAAAATAATACTTGAAAATTGTTTTTCCCAGAATTTACCAAAATAATAATATGATTTGTTATAGAAATGAGAGTGGGGTGGGGGGTACTCCAGGCAGAAGGCACAACGTAAACAAAGGTGAGGAAACAGGAAACATAGGATGTACACAAAGAACAAGTTTTAACTTTGACAGAAAGAATTGAGGATGACAAAAGGGCAATAATGATTTTTTTAAAATTTGCTTTGAAAGAATGAATAGAGTCAGATCATTAGGGGCCTAGAGGCTAAGATAGGCAGTTTGACTAATTTTTTCTAAGCGCCAGAGAATGATGAAATGTTTTCAGCAAAAGCAGTATGCCTGGAACTCTGCTATAGGAAAATTAACACAGTGGGTATGTGTGGCATTAATCAAAGAAGGAAGAAAAAGTTGAGGAAATCACCTAGAACTCTAATGGAAAATGTGACATAACAGTTAGAAAAGCAGGAAGCAGCAAAGTGTCAGTGGAACCACAACACTGTGAATTTTAACTTTATCATTTTCCACCTATTTATTAGAGACCTGCAAGGTCTCTAGCACAAAGCAGTTTATCATTTTGTTGAGAAATGAATCTGAATCATGTACTCTGTAAGACAGATGTATAGAAATGAACTCTGCAATCTGTTAAGTGAGCCTAGCTAAATGCCCAATAACCATAGCTTAATACAATGTACTCCACATCCTCACATACACAGAGGCAGTAGGAGTTAGTAGACAAATCTTGACTCAGGAACTATGCAAAACAAAAACACAATGACTCCCACTCAGCTGTGCTAGGGACGTCAGGGGCTGATATGAACAAAATAAATATCCCACGATCAGACAGCTTCACACAAAGGCAAAAGAGCTGATTGCTGCCACCAGGTGATTCAAGAAGTTCCAAAGCACACCATTCTAAAAATCTTTTTCTGGCCGGGCGCAGTGTCTCACGCCTGTAATCCTAACACTTTGAGAGGCTGAGGCAGGCGGATCACAAGGTCAGGAGATCAAGATCATGCTGGCTAACACAGTGAAACCCTGTCTCTACTAAAAATACAAAAAATTAGCCAGGTGTGGTAGTGGGCGCCTGTAATCCCAGCTACTCGGGAAGCTGAGGCAGGAGAATGGCATGAACCTGGGTGGTGGAGCTTGCAGTGAGCCGAGATAGCGCCACTGCACTTCAGCTTGGGCGACAGAGCAAGACTCCACCTCAAAAAAAAAAAAATTTTTTTTCCTAACAGCCTGCATGAAAATGTCACATTAAACTCCTTAAGGGAAGGCCCTTGTGAAAATCCAAATCCATACCACTATTTATAAATGACACACTATTTATAAATGACACTAACAGGATAGGGCTGCACCTACGCAACATTTTGCTCAAGATGGCCTGTGGCACATCAGGGAAAGTAATCCCAACTAAGCTAGGAGAGGGTTCATAGTCACATCAAGAAATGGTCAGTTACACACTTAAAGATGGGGATTATATTTGAATGTACTGTCCAGTGTAGCTTGGAAAAAGTGAATTTTTTTCAAATACCACAAATGATGTTAGTATATCAGAGACTCATTTCCATGTCTGTTGATCTCTCTTTTTCCATTCCTTAACTGTCAGCCTTTCATGTCTATGTACTTTGGATGGCCCTTGTAAACTGTATTTATCTTAGGTTTGTATACATAGCCACCCTCATAATCTTTGTCTTTCAAAAGGGGAGTTTAGTTTATTTACATTTACCATAACAATTATTTATTTCAATTTATTACTATGATGTTATTGTGTACTTTCTGTTTGGCAGGGCTTTTCTATGCTTCTTTTAATTTTTTTCCTGCCTACTTTTACACTGATTATTTCTCTCATTCAGATTTTTCTCTCTATACTCTATACATTTCGTTTTTTAGTTTTTACTCTAGAAATGTAACATGCATACTTAGTTTTCCAAAGTCCTAATTTTATCGATAACTTTATGCTTCTTCCTATCACTACTCACCAAATTTATATAGAGTATTTGCCATGTGTTTTCATTTTCCACTGTTTTATTTTAACTCTGCTAAAATATTTTTGTTTTACACTATCAATGTTTATTTTGTTATCAATTATTATTGTCACTTATCATTTCATCTTATAACTCAACCTTTGATTAAAGGTAACTTCTGTCAGCCGGGCATGGTGGCTCATGCCTGTAAGCCCAGCACTTTGGGAGGCCGAGGCAGGTGGATCACAAGGTCAGGAGATCAAAACCATACTGGCTAACACAGTGAAACCCCATCTCTACTAAAAAACAAAAAATTAGCCAAGCACGGTGGCGGGCGCCTGTAATCCCAGCTACTCGGGAGGCTGAGGCAGGAGAATGGCATGAACCTGGGAGGCGGAGCTTGCAGTGAGTCGAGATGGTGCCACTGCACTCCAGCCTGGGCGACAGAGCAAGACTCCACCTCAAAAAAAAAAAAAAAAAAAAAGATAACTTCCGTTTCCTTGAAGTTTGGAATTTCCTGTAATAAGGATCTCTTGGTTAAGATTTTGTTTGAAGATAACTATACTTAGCATTTATTGTTGAAAGATATTTTCATTGGTTATACACTTCTGAGTTGATAAGTATTTTCCCTCAGTATATGAAAAATGTCGTCCCACTGTCCTCCGCCTTCCATTGTTGCTATTCGGAAGTCAGCTGAGTGACTTACTAGTATTCTTTTGTAGGTAGTCTGTTTTCCTCTGGCTGTTTTAAATATATTTTCTGACTCTTTAATGCTCTGGAATTTTACTAGAATATGAATTTTACTCCAGTTTTGGCAGTATGGATGTAGGTGTAGATTTATTTTCATTTATCCTGTTTGAAATTAATTAGGCTTCCTGAATGTGATAATTTTTGTCTTCTTTAAGTTCTTGAAAATTTCCAGCCAAAATTTCTTTAAACATTTTCTTTCCTCATTCTCTCTTCTCTTCTTCTCTGACCAAATATTTGTTATATCTCACTCTAGCCATGTCTTTTCTCCTCTTATCTACATTTTTTCATCTTTTAGTTTCCCTATGCTGCTTCAGATTCAGATATATAGTTTAGTTTAATTCTCTCCTCAGCTATATCTAATGTGCTATAAAATTGTCATTGAATCTTTATTGTAAATGTTATTTTCCATGTTTATACATTTCTTGGGTTCTTTTTCAAATTTGCTTGGTCATTTTTATAGTCTGTTCATAATTAATATTTTAATATCCTCCCTTATTTAAGCTTATTTTAGTAAATTGGATTGCTGTTCATGAAATATTCATTCTCCTCTTTCCCGAAACATGCAGGAGGTTTCTCCTTTGCACCATTGACGCTGGAGTTGGCAATGACTTGCTTTTCCAATGAAATGTGAACAGACATGACATATGCTGTGTTTGAGCAAGGTTTTAAATGTGCTTGCCTTACTTGGCTTGGTCTCTTGCACTACTGCAACCCACCATAAGAAAAGCATGCCCCATGTAGCTGCTATGCCTTTCACCTGAGTCCCAAAATAAGAAGCACATGGAACAGACCTAAAGCCAACCTTCAACTTGAACTCAAGCTCAGAAAATCCCATCAGCTCTCATAAAAACCAAGCAAAGCCATACCCTACCTACAAATCCCTAGCAAAAATATAATAATTCTTATTTTGGCAAGCCTCTGAATTTTTAAATCATTTGTTAGACACAGAAAACAGGTTTATGCTTATGTGTTTTATATTCTCCCTAATAATTGTAATATCTGAAGTGTTTTAGGTTCAGTCTGATTCTTTTATCTGTAGTTTCTGCCAGCTGTCATGGTGTTCATTTGCTTCAGTGTTTTTTAATTTTTAACTGAGAATTTATATTCCTTGAAACTAGATATTTATTAAGCCTAGTTCAAGGACTTCTGCAAAGAGTTGTGACATTTGTTTCTGTCAAGCATTTTTGGATACTATAAATCTAGGACACTTTTAACTTAGTTATCAAATTGAGAGGTTGTTGTTTGTTTGTTTGTTTTGTTTTTAGCAACTCAGGTGGTGTCAATTTTGCCTACACATTTCAATCATTGCTAATTTTTAGTTAATATTCTTAGGATAGATAGCTTTTTTCCCCAACAAACACAAAAGATTAAGACACTTCTCCTTGCTGTTTTCTCAGAGTAAGGAAGTTTAGACTTCATCAAACAATTCACTGCAAGGCATTCTCAGTTATAAGAAGGGAAAAGTCCTCATATTAGGCTTGATCTCTTGTCCATGATGCTTTCAAAGCCATGCAAGTTAAGGTTACCAGTCTTCGTCAATTACCTTCAGAGCAAAAGCAGTAAGCAGAGCTACGTTTATCTTTCTGAGTTCCTATTTTCATGTTGATTTTCATCTCCTTCCTTTCTTGATAGCTAATAAAAAAGACTCACATAAAACCTGTAGCTTCTAGTTGTTTTCAGCAAAAGGGTCAATTAGATTATCTAATCTGCCATATAACTAAAACTGGACTTTCCCACTTGCATTGTCTTTTGTGTATTTGTTGAAATATCTCATCTTCAAATGGCCTCATCTGTTTTCTTTGTGTTGTTCAATTATTCATGCAACAACCATTTATTAAGTGCCCACAAGCAATGCGGTACTTTTTAGGTTCTGGAGATACATAAGCAAACAATGCAGAAGAAATCAGTATCCTCATGGGCTGATAATTTTGGGGGGCGGTTTAAAAATTTAATTCTGTACTATAATTTTATAAAATCCAAGGAAGAAAAGGGAAATAAACATGAGTGACCAGTAAGTGACTGTTAGCTAGAAATTTCCCCAAATGCTATTCAATTTCTACCTCTTTTATTGAGTTTAATACATCCTGTTTGGTATTCACGTTCTTATGTACTTGTTAAATACTCACGAAATATTTCATTATACAAATGAAAACACTTTGTTACCTTTGATTAGCTAAGAAAATATTAGGTATCATTTATATTTCAGTTGCTACTAAGTTATAAACTTAGTAGAGGCATATATCAAAAAAAGTATATCAAAATTATCATGTAAAACAACACTTTTCACTTAGCAAATGTCAGAGAATTTTTTTTAATTAAAAGGCACCACCGACAAGGTGAGGTAAGGCAGAAACATCTGGAGATCCATCATACACTAGAACTGCAGGGACCAGAGCAGAGACTGAACAAAACACCCTCAGTTTACAGATAGATCAAATGCCAAGACCAGAAAGGTGATACTACTTACCCAAGGTCTTATAGCTATTTAATAACACAACTGGGGAACTGGGGCCAATATTTATTTTAGTATATGGAAATGCAATAGAGTTTTTTTAATACTGATTTAGCTATTGTGCTAAAATATTTTATTATTTCTAATATTTTGCCTGTAAAATGCTTTTGAACTTTCAAAGTAGATGATCAGATCATCTGCAAATAATGTAGTTTTACTTCCTAATTTCCAGTCTTTGTGATCTTAATGTATTTTCCTTTATGGGTTATACTGCCTGGAATTTGAATGCAAAATCTTTAACTAAAGAATACTAAATTCATTTTTAGTACTATCGATTTTCAATGTTATTATTGGTATTGATACTATTATAATAGGAAACACCTATATAGTAGTTACTATGTTCCAGGCACTGTTCTTTGTCCTCACAACAACCCTATCATTCTCTCCATTTTACAGGGAAGGAAATTGAGGAAGTACAAATAATTTAACTGACTTCTCTAAGGTTATGCAGTTAGTAAAAACAGAGACAGAACTGAATGTTGGCATTTTGGCTTCAAAGTATATATTCTTGATCTTTAAGTCCACTAGATTTATCCACTTTATTCTAAATTTTGAGAGGCTAAAGAAACCTATCAGCCCAAATATTTTATCATACTACATAATCTTTCATATCATCTTCTCATGTTTTGAGGTTGACTTTGTAGCTTGCTTTAAACCGCGTAAAGACTGGAGATTGTTGTTTCATCAGTAACTTTATTATTCAAAGAAGTTCTAACACAGCCAGAGCATACATTTCAGTTGTATTTTACATGTCTGCATGGTAGCTAAGTTATTTGGTAAGAATTTTTCATTTTTAGTTCTTAATATAGTTGAAGACCTTTAAATATGAAGAGAATCTAGAATTGTTCTATAGACTTCAGCCAAACAAAACCTCTTATGTACAGTAAAAGGATACATTTCCAATATAATCCTTTTATTACAGAAATGACCACACTCAATTTTATTAGTGTGTTTACACATTTATTTCTGAGACAGTGATTTTTCTGGGGGCCTGGGTTATATCTTTCATGTTTCATCCTTGATGTCTATCATATAGTGCCTGGCTTATGGCAGATACTCAATAACTTTGCTGAATGAATAAAAGGCAACAACCTGTGGCACATTTATAATTATCCCTATTTGGCAGATGATGAAAAGAAGTTTACTAGAATTCATGTGACCTCCAAGGTTACAGAATTTGTCAGTAAGCAGAAACAGGATTCAATCCTCAATTTTCTACCCAAAGCCACACTTTTTCAACTAAACCACAAAATGCATAGAAAAGGATTTACTGTATATATTCACAGCTAGTCCATGACTAAAAATCTTGTGGCTTCCTGTGTCATTTGCATAATAAAACTAAAAGTATAAAGAAATAGAATGGAAATACTAAACCTTATGTCAAATTTATAAACTGATCTCTAAAACCAGTTTATTTTGTAAATATAGTAACATATGTCAGAAAACCGCTCAGGCTTCTTTTTCTACTAGAAAAGTCTTTATGTTTTTCTCAAAAATGACATCCTTTGCCAACTCTGAATATGACATAGTGTTAATGAAAATCTATGCATATAAAAATTTCAAATTCATACTTACATGAGAAAATCATGAAGAATTGGAGATACGCCAAAATAGCAAAGGCAGGCTAAACTTGGTCTAATTTCAAAGCAGAAGAAGTAATCAAATCCCAAGAAATTAAGATGTGTACGTATAATTTTATTCCTGGCAAGAGAAATGGTCATAAACATATTTTATTAGCATGCAGAAAAAGTAAGTTGATCACATGGAACCATTATGGGTTCACTTGGAATAGATTCTCTCAAACCTCAGGATAATACCATAGAGAAAGTGAACCTGACATGTAACATGATCTCTGACATGTAACAAAATATCCCAGAATCTGTCATGTAACAAAGTCTAATGCCACATTACAAAGCCTCTCATGATACACCTGTGAACAAGATGAGGCCTTCGGAATTTGCTATAACATTGAATAATAGTTGGTGCTATAACTGTTATTAACACCATAATAATAGTTGGTGGTATACAAGGAGTTAACAACAAACTTATTGCTATTAACTCCTTGTTGTCATAACCATTAGGTCAGTGGATCCAGCTTTTCTGGGAATGAAGAGAAATAGTGAAGAGGGGAAGGAATTTTCAAGAAAATAGCAAAAATATGGAGTGAAACTAGCTGCTTCAGGGACTACATCAAGAGGCACATCAGTTCAAAGCAGTTCTAGATGAAATATCAAGAATCAGAGAAGTATTACCTTTGAGGACTGACAGGGTTGCAACTTCAGAAGCAGAGAGGGGAAAAGGTAGAAGATTTCAACACAGACACATATCCCATCCAGACACAAGTCACAAGATAAAAAATGCCAGTTGCATCCACTTCCTCCCAACTCCCATCCTAGAAAACTGCTGTGGTATTAAACAGAAAAGTCAGCTCTCCATAATAAAGAAAACACTATGCTCATCTCCATACTCATGAATCTAACTGCTTACTCAAACATCTAGACCTCTATCCTCATCTCTATACTCATGTATCCAAGTGCTTACTCAAACATCTCCACTCGGATGTCTGGCAAGCATCTCAAAATCAATATGTCCAAAACTGAATTCTGTTTTCCCCCTGAAACTTGCTCCATCCACAGTCCTTCCCATCACAATTCTAACAACTTAATCTTTCCAGTTGTTGATGTCAAAAACCTTGAAGTCATGCTTGACATTCCTTTCCTTTCATGTAACAGCCAATCTGCCAGGAAATCCTGTCAGATCTACATCCAAAATGCACCGAGAATCTGGCTAGTTCTAATTACTGTTATCATCCCCAACCAAAGCACCAAAAACTTTTCTTGGGACTCTTACAACAACTTCCTCGTAGATGTTCCTGCATCCAGGCTTGTTTGCCTATAGTATGTTCTCAGTACAAGTGCCAATGCGATCCTTTTAACACTTGAGTCAGATCATTTCATTCCACTGTCCACTTTAACAGCTCTCCATTTCACTCAGAGTAAAAGCCCAAAGTCCTACAAAGCCTATAAACCCACATAGCCTGGTCCCTCATTAATTCTCTGACTCCTATTACTCCCCGTCACTGACTCTGCTCATTGCCAAGGTGCCAGTCTCACTCCCACTTCAGGGCCTTTACTTCATTCCTTCTGCCTGGGATTCTAGCAAATGATTTTCATGACTCACTCCTTCACCTTTAAGACTTTTCTCAAATGTCACCTCATTGAGGCCTCCTTGGTCAGTTTACTTAATACAACAATCTGTCCATCCAGCTCCTGAACATCTCTTATCTCCCTTGTGCCTCTATTGTGCTTTTTCCCATAGTAATTATGACCTTCTAAGAAAATACATTTTTTACTTCTTGATTGCTTTTAGTGCTTACTATCTATCTTCTGCTAGGTAAAGGTCCATGAATGCAGGATTCTTTTTCTGTTTTCTCAGTGGTGTACCACAAACATTTAAAAGGGTGCCTGGCACACAGTCAGTGGTCAATAAATGTTTGTAGAATTAATGCATTTTAGAACTTTTCCACCTACACCTTGTCCCAGTACCCAGGGGTAAGGCAATGAGAAAGCTGCACTCTTTCACCAGGACAGAGAAATTCCTAATATTGAAGAAATCCAAGCAAAAAAGACCAGGACATGAGAACAAGGCAATTCTGGGCTAGTTGCCAGCTGAGAGCATCAGAAAAGCCCTTTAATCCTTTGGCCAGGGAGTGCCAATTCTTTCTATATCTACAGGGTATGATTAGAAATATATTTACACAATGCCTGATTGGTTGTTCCTTGGTCTGGAGGCAGGGAATCCTACACTTGCAATTAATTAATACTCCTTCCCAGTAACTGAGATGAAGTAAGGACCCAACCAGATTTGGCAATATAAAAGATGATTGATTTGTAATCCCAGTACTTTGGGAGGCCGAGGCGGGCGGATCACGAGGTCAGGAGGTCGAGACCATCCTGGCTAACACGGTGAAACCCCGTGTTAGCCGGACGTGATAGCGAGTGCCTGTAGTCCCAGCTACTTGGGAGGCTAAGGCAGGAGAATGGCGCAAACCCGGGAGGCGGAGCTTGCAGTGAGCCGAGATCGCGCCACTGCATTCCAGCCTGGGCGACAGAGCAAGACTCCGTCTCAAAAAAAAAAAAAAAGATGATTGATTTGTGTGTTAATGTCAACTATTTCCATCCAGTTTTACTTCCATGAAAAGACATTAGCACACTCACACAAGATGAACTTAGAATGTTCTAAAAAATCTCTCATGACCACCTACAGTTTTCCTAGGGAATTTCTAAAGACTTACCTCTATGAGCCTATCTCTATGAGCCTAACTCACTTTTCCTAGTTTCTTCTCCCCACATTGGCTATGTTCCTGGCTGCTTCTTTCTTAGATGCCCTTGGGCACTGGCCTTGTCCGTTTTAGAACAGGACCTTATTATCTCTTTTCTTGGATAGCCTCTTAAACATTACCAAGAGGAACCACACTATCCTTAAGTCATATTGGATATCTGAAATTCCACCTTGTCATAATTGTTCCACATCCAGCCCCAACTGGATGAGAATAAGAATTTGACAGCCGAGAAGCCATATTCCAGTGGTTTCTACTATCTTTTAATTTGGTCCAGTCCCTTTCAACATCTTCCCTCAATGACTTCTATAATTACATAAATAACATGTTTGTCAAATTTTTAGGTGACAAACAGTTGATAAAAATATCTAATATTTTAGATAATAGGCTCAAGACTCCAAAATAACTCCTGCAATTTAATGAACAGGCCAAAATGAATAAAATGCCTATTTATGGAGATAATTAGGCCAGTGTGTGATACATAGTGGCATTCTATAAAAGTTTGTGGAATTATAAAATGAATAAATTGATGCAGACTCTTCTACTGAGATTCTAAAAATTAACTGCACAAGTTCAGGATGAAGAATAACCTAGAATAAGAGCAGTTTCTGAGAAACCAGATTTACAAGTTTATTGGATACCAAGTGCCTTATAAGTCAGTTCTGTCAGAAAATAGGGCCATTGCTGTTGAGAGCACACCAACAACTAATGTGTCAGTTTGTGAGCTTCACATTTTTTAATTGATATTGACAAATTTGAGAGATACCTGAGAAGAATCATTGCAATATTGAAAGATTACTTGACTTATTCATTCATTAGGTAATCTTGAATGCCTACTCTTTGATGAGCCTTGGAATAGTCATTAAGGATAAATGGTGTTCATATAAGGAGTGACTGATAAAATGGAATATACTGCATATTTTATTTTTATTATTAATATTAAAAAGAGTATTACAGCATTTTTAGTTAATATATATTATTGGTATATTATAATAATACAATAATTACTATAATAAATAAAACAATATATTATGATTTAACAGTATATTATTTTATGCCATATTATGAATATGACAGTATTTCATTTTACTCCATGTTATTAACAAGTAGTAATATCATACGCATAAGTCCATTTTATATGACAATCTTTCCTGTATTAGAATTCCAGTGGAAGCTAGAATGTAACTTTCATAACAGAAAGAATCCTTTATTTCATGTAATTTCCAATTAAATAAAAACTTTCAAATATTTGAGACATAATCTAAATGGCTGGGCGCAGTGGTTCACGCCTGTAATCCCAGCAATTTGGGTGGCCGAGGTGGGTGGATCACCTGAGGTTAGGAGTTCTAGACCAGCCTGGTCAACAAGGTGAAACCCTGTCTCTACTAAAAATAGAATAATTAGCCAGACACAATGGCAGGTGCCTGTAATTCCAGCTACTTGGGAGGCTGAGGCAGGAGAATCGCTGGAACCTGGGAGGTGGAGGTTGGAGTGAGCAGAGATCACACCACTGCACTCCAGCCTGGGCAATAGAGTGAGATCCTATCTCAAAAAAAAAAAAAAAAATATATATATATATATATATATATATTTGAGATATAATCTAAATATGGAATCCTTCCAAAATTTTGCAAATTTCCTGAATCATTATAGTTCTCTTGTTTATACTTTATTTGATGGTAACTCTTTTGTATGCACCTCTATTGAGTTGTTCTGAAGTGTTCAACCCACTTTCATTGTAACAAAAACTGTCCTTTCTTAGTAATATTTTATTAGCTTATAAAATACTTACTCAAATTATACATCTACACTAAGAACTGTAACTGGCATAAATAATTTGGTAAGTAACCCAAGTGACTCTGAAAACATACAACTCCACTCACTGGAGCACAAGTACATGAAAGTACTAGCACCTGATATCGATCAGAATGTTTTACAGAGGGAATGAGGGACAGTATTTAATCCTCTAAATTGGTTAGTCAATTGGTTAAGTGGAAGCTGGTTAAAATAATTCTAACTGAACACTAACCCAGTCTTCTTAGAGATTCCAGAGTTTTCTCTCTAGAAAATGTACCTCAGTATTACGGTCCCCTCCTGAAAGCCCGTTAATGGCCTCAAGATAAAACCAAGCTCCGTGGACAGAATGATATTTGAGAGATGAAATTTAACTTGTCAAGGAACACTTCCCTTCAGGTTATTTTTGATTGAGTTCTGAATATTTTAGAGGAAAATATTAATTATGGAAATAATGCAGGCTTGGATTGATGTTTCCTGCTCCAAGGAGAATTTAGATTTGCCTCTGGCAGTGGCTAGGGGCACTAGCAATGAAACTTCACATTAGGCCGTTTATAGTGATTGAGTCCCTAGGACAAAAGACTATTTCTGGTTCACTGTCCCATCTTGAATGGAGGCCTTAAGGTCCCCAGTTCAAAGCGTGTATGGTTTACTGTGGATCCCCATCCACAATGGGTCTTGGACTCACATCTCATCCTCTCAGTTGTCTCTTCCTGGATTGGCAGGTGTTTCTGGGTGACAAGCTGCTATACCTGCCAGGCTCACCCCTCTGGGTTTTCTCCCTAATCTGAGCCTGTGATTCTTCAATGCAATGAGAATGTTTTTATTCCTTCAGTCAGATAAGATTGTTTAATATTTTACCCACTTAAGTGTTGATTTTCATCACTTTATTCCTGTATTATTGAAATCATCCCACCCTTATTTCTTCATAAATAAAGAAGAACCAGGCCCCACATTTGAGACCAGAGGACCAAAGCATTATGTCTGCCTCTGTTCCTTATTAGATATGTTACCTTGGGCAACTTTCTCATAGTCTCAGTTTTCTACAAAGCAAACACAAGAATTTTATTCATTGGTGTATGTACAATTCTTTGAGATGCTGCATGGAAAAGCATTGTAAACTGTAAAATATGACTTAATATCTAATTACATTAATATGTGCTCCTAAACAATGTGTGTGTGTGCTTTAATTTGTTATGATACAGTGTGCAGATTAATTTATCCTTTGTCAATATCAATTTTTTCACTCATCCGTTTATTTTATTCACATTTATTGCATGCCTGCACTGTGCTAAAACTGTTACTGGGCCTTGTTGATACAGCAATAACACAAAATAATGCCTCAATCCAACAAAATTCTGAAGGGCTTCCTCAGCCCCTCCATGACCAGCCCCCACCCCCCCAATTATACAGTCTCCTGCTACTCTTAGTCCCCTGTTATAACCTAACTTCAGGATATTCATCACAATTTTACTTCTATTTTTATTTTGTATTATTTGTTAAATGTCTGTTTCATCCACTAAACTGTAATACCCTGAGAGTCACTAACATGGCCACATTATAATCTGTAAAATATTGTTAAATGACATGAAAGAGATAAATGAATGACTAATCGTATGGAGTCTGTAATGCCTGGTAAGATTTGGTAGGAAATAAAACTAGAAAGGTAGATGGGGAACAGTTTGTGATGGGGCCCTTAATGTCCTGCTGTGTAATCAAGACTTTATCCTTTAAGCAGTGAGGAACCATGGGAAACTGAGATAATAGCATGGACAAAGGCAAGAAGACACAGACATTCAGCTCGTTAGAAACGTTGCCTCAGGTCACTGACTTAGAGAAGGGCAGATAGAAACACCGAGTCTCTTCTTACAACACATGGGCTCCTCAATCTGGTGAACCACTTTGCATCACCTGACGTTATAAGATATTCTTCTAAGAACAATAGCACTAATTGGGATCAAAACCCTGGGGTGAGGTCCATCTACTGAGCCAAAGCTGGGTGGCAGGGTGCAATAAAATTTTTATGTGTCAACGTAAACATTGTCTTTTAAAAAAATCATTGTATACATATTTACATCTACCATTATTTCATTAGACTAGATTATCGAATGAATGAGTCTCCTTGGGAATTGAAAGGGTGCATTCCACCACATCTTTATAGAATTATTATACATACTTTAATTTTGTCTTTGCTGGTTTCACATATTAAGTATCCTTATAGGAGCCTTCAGGTCCTTTGCAGCTCCTGTGACTCTAATTCAGTTCACTGAAGTATCTACCATTACTCCTTCTACCCAATGAGACCAAACAAACAGAAAAAAATTGGTTCCTTCTCCGTTTTGACAGCCCATGAGATATCTGAGGAGAGTTCTCATGTCCTGAGACTTCTTTTTACCCATAAGAGTAAATGCCTCCAACTAAGGCTATTTTTCAGAAACATACAAGTTTATAAAAAATGGCCCAAAACTTTTTGTAGAAAAATTTTAAGTTTGAACATTGGGAGTTCCAGAAAAAAAAAAAAGGCTTCTGTCCAACACTTTTCACTGCTGGCTATATCATAGTTCCTCACTGGAATAAAGAATATTCTGTTTCCTAGTGGAATGGAGAATTGAAATCAGAGCCTCTGGATAATAACAGTAACAATTACAATCATAAAGATCATAGCTTACATTTGACTGCTTGCCGTGTGCCAGGCATTTTTCAAAGAGCTTAAAGATATTCTCCCCATAATCTTCAAATAATGCCATGAAGTTTGTACAAAACTGCTCTTATACAAAGTTAAATCCACTTGTTTCAAAAATAAGGAAAGGGAGAAAGAAAAAGGATAAAGAAAACCTATATTCACTAAGTCCTAATAGGCTATGCTATGTATCCATTTTCCATTGTTGCTATAACAAATTACCATAAACTAGTGCATAAGACAACAGAAATTTATTAACTTACAGCTCCGAAGGTCATACTCCAGTATTGGTCTCACTGAGGTAAAATCAAGGTGTCAGCATGACTGCATTTTATTCCACAGGCTCTAAAGGAGAATCCATTTCTTGCTTTTTCCAGCTTCCAGAGGCCATTTGCATTCCTTGACTCGGGTTCCCCTCTCTCCATCTTTAAAGTCAGCAACAGCAGTTTTAGTCCCCTCACATTGCATCTCTGACACTTTTTCCATCATCACATGTCTCTCTGATCATGGCCAAAAAATATTCTCCATTTTTAAGGACTCATGTTACTAGATTGGACCCACTGGATAATCCAGTAAAACTTTTCCATCTTAAACTTAAACCATCCAGGAAAACTTTGCCATTTAATGTAACATATTCACAGGTTCCTAAAACATCTCTGGGGTGAACATCTCTAGGGTACCAGTATTCTGCATATGAGGACCTATATATGCAATTCCATGTATTCTCCCCAGGAAATAAATCCTCAAGATAATTATAATAGTTATTTATTGTTGTGTAATAAACTACCTCCAAAATTAAATAGCTTAAAATGACATTTGCTTTCTCACAGTTTCCTCAGAGGGTCATGAACCTGGCTGAGGCTTAGCTGTGCCCTCTGTTTCAGGTTGTCTCACATGGCTGCAACCAAGGTATCTGCTTAGGCTGCGGTCTCATCTGAAGGTTCAGCTGATGATAGATCTGCTTTCAAGCTCACTGCTTGGCTGCTGGCAAGATTCAGTGTCTTGTAGACTGTTGACTGAGGGCCTCAGTTCCTTCTAGCTTTTAGTGAGAGAGCATCCTCAGTTCCTTTCCATGCAGGTCTCCACATATGGCACATTCCTTCATCAGAGTGAGTAAGCAGAGAGAGAGAGAGAAAAGGTGTCAGGAAGGTGGTTGTCATGGTCTTTTAAAATCTAACCTCAAGAGTGCCATTCCTTCACTTTTGCCATATTCTATTAGTTAAAAGTAAGTTACTACATCAACAAGACCAGCCCACATACAAAGAAAAGAAAATACACTATGGAGTGACCATCATGAGGAAAGATCATTGGGAGCCATTTCAGAAGCAGTCTATCACAGTATTTGTATCATTTTGCTATTGCTGCATGACAAGTCACCACAAACATAGTGGCTTGAAATGAAAATTCTTCTCTCTTATTCACATCTGTGGGTCAACTGGGACACAGCCAAACAACTCTGATTCAAGTTACCGGTTCCCCTTTGCTTGAATCCTTGTTGTGGAGTGAGTGCAAGTTTGCTTCATTGAAGTTCAAGCTGGGGTGCCTGTAAAATCCTAGGGCAGTTCTTCTCACAGCAATAGCAGAAGTGCAAGAAGGAAAGAGAAACATGTGATAACTTTTAAAGCCAGGATTGAGGCCTATTGCATGGTTACTTCCCTCCTCCCTACCCCCAGGTACCCTACTGGCCAAAATAAGTCACATGCCTGAACCCAAAATAAAAGGACTAGAAAGTATATTCTGCCTCTAGTGGAAGCAACTTCACAGTCACAAGGTAAAGGTCAAGGATCCAGGAAGAGGTGAAAAATTGGGGCCAAAAATTCCATCTCTCACAATATTATCACTCACATTTTACTGATAAAGAAATTGTGGTGCAGATAAGCTACCTGACTTGCTCAAGGTCACAGAATTCAAATTCACATTTGTCTGACTTCAAAACCCGTTCTTCATTGTTTTATACCACCACGACTCAAGATACATTCTCTCTGAATCATTTCCTTCTGAATAAAGGAGTTCACAAATTGGTATCTAAAAATTCCTTTTGCAAACAGTCATCAGAAATTTCACTTTGCTCTTCTGCCTCCTGTTTCACTTTATCAGCCTAAATTTGTAACATGGGCAGGAGCGTGGAGATAAAATCGTCTCTGAAAATGAGAAAATGGATTTTCTTGCCATGCCTTTGCATTACAAATGGGCCCAGTCCACGGCAATCATGGCTGCACCTGGAACAGTGCACAGGGCCCATGAATAATCCATGTTCCTTACACACTTGTCTCCCTGCGGTGCTGACTCAGCAACTGCTCTCCTACTTTCTGCAAAGTAAAGACAGCATATAGGTCAGATGAAGTCTAAGAGTGTAACAACACTCTGAACATTTGGCTGAATCCTGAAGGCCGACAAGGGACTTAAAAATTTCATTAGAATTTAACCAGACTGTGATTCTTCGCTTCTCAGAATTTCATTTCTTCAGGGTTAAATCCAGATTTCATTATCTTCAGGGTTAAATCCAGACTTCTTTATATGGCACACAGGAGCCATCATGATTTGACCATTACTTACCTGACCAGAACTTTATCCCCGCCACCCATCCCCTGCCCTTCAGCTTGACCCCTTTTTCCACCTCCCTCATCTTCAACCCCAGCTATACAAAACTATTTGTATTCCCCAAAAAGAAAACACATTTATCTGCAATCATTGGCATTTGTTGGTCCTTTTTCCTAGAAAGCTCTTCCTCCCCTTGGTCACTAATCTAAATTAAGTTTCTTCTTTCAGAAGTAGCTCAGGGGCTCCTTTGCACAGAAACCTATTCCTAACCTCACCCTTACCCTAACACCCAGCTCACTTGGGGTTAGGAGTTTTTTGTTTAGGAAACAGTTTGTGCTTCGACTATAGCCCTTCTCAACCTATATTAGAATCACCTATTTATTTTTCAATCTCACAAACACTGAGCTCTTTGAAACTAACAATATTTTGGCTCTGAATGCATATTGTTCTTGGCATGGTGCTCAGTAGTCATTACATGATTGCAAAAAAATAAAAGGAATGGGAAGGGAAAAGAAGGGAAGGAAAGGGAAGACAAGGGGAGAGGATCACAGGGAAGGGAAGAGAAAAGAAGGGAAGAGGAGGAGAAGGGAGGAAAGGGGATGGGAGGGAAGGGGAGGAAAGGGAAGGGAATGGGAGGAAAAGGGAGGGGAGGGGAGGGGGAAAAGGAAAGGGAAGGGAAGGGAAAAGAAGGAAAGGGGAGGGGAGAGAAGAGGACAGGGGCGGGGGGAGAAGGGAGGGAAGGGAAGGGAAGGGAAAAGAAGGAAAGGGGAGGGAAAAGAAGGAAAGGGGAGGAGAGAGAAGAGGACGGGAGGGAAGGGGGAGAAGGGAGGGAAGGGAAAGGAAAAAAGGGAAGGGGAGGGGAGAAGAGGGGAGGGAAAGGAAGGAAGGAGAAAGAGAGGAAGAATAGAAAAGAAGTAGGGAGAGAGGGAGGTAAGAACGGAAAGAGGTAAGAAAAAGAGGGAAGAGAGGAGGGAAGGAGAGAAGGAAAGAGGGAAGAAAGAAAAATCAAGATCATGTTTGAGAAAGTATTTTGTAAATTTCACATGGCTTCATACAATCAGGAGCCCTATTCATTTCACCTGGAATAAGCTAACGTACAAGGCTAGCTACTCTTAGGGAAAGCCCGTTTTTCCTTAAATCCTTTGACTCCAGCAGATCAGACCCACCTACATCCTCTGTAAACTTAAGTGAATGAACTTTGTAAAGAGTGTTGCCTCTTAGCCAGCTTCTCCATGTACTCCAGTGTAATCAATAACCAATCCAGAGAGCAAATTAATGTTAAATACAGCTTGAAGAATGGTGGAAAAAAAAAACAGTAGGGGAGCATTAGCAGAGAGCCTTCCCAGAATTGTAGTCTCAGGGACTGTAGGTTGGTTCAGAGATTATCATAATCTGCAAGATAGGAGGGCCCTCCAGAAATAGAGTTATCATTCCTGCTATAAAAATTGTGCCCCTGAATTAACACAAACAAGAATTTCCAGATGACAGTTCCAAATGCCAATTGCTGCTATTTTCACTTCAACATCATAATTGACTGAGTGTGATTGCTTGGTGGTTTTGAAGCTGTCTTTGCACCCTAATAATTGCACTTTCCAAATTCCATCTGAGGCATTACCATACCTGATAAGGCTCTTAACTGATGTTTTAATATAATGGCTTGGAACATACATCTTTGGAAAGAATAGTTCATATAGAAGATAGATCAAATATGTTCTAGGATTATTCTTTACAGTCACTATAATAAGTGTTTCTTCTACTTTCCCTCCCACCACACACCCCCATAAAGTCAACAACTTTATGGCATTAGGCTTCAAAGAGTTGCTAAAACTCTGGAAGCTTTGCTCTTCTGAGAAAAAAAATCTTATTTCATTTTTTTCCCTGTAAAATCGCCATAATATTTAGGTGGGGAGGAGATATGCAGCTGTTATGATTTAGAGTTGCTGAGCTTCTGACCCTTGTCCTGGCTAAAACAGTGTTTGGATTTGAGTAGAAATAGCAATGAACCTAGAGCAACTTATTAGCTGAAACTCTGAGTCTCAAAATTTTTTCATTTATAAATAGCCCAGTGAAAATAACTTACATTTCACTGGCCTATTGTGAGAATCTAATGAAATCTGATGGATAAAAAGCAAGGCAAAAACTAAACTATTCTGTATTGTTGGGGAATTATGAATTAATATTATTGTTATGGCCTAAAATTAGTTGAATAGAGCCAGAAAACAGAGTAGATGTGGTGCATTAATCTACTTGAGCTACCATAACAAAATACCACACGCTGAGTGGCTTAAATAATAAAAATTTATTTTCTCACCATTCTGGAGGCTGGATGTCCTAGATCAAAGTCCAGCAGAACTCAGTTTCTGGTAGACGCACTCGTCCTGGCTTGCAGACATCCCCTTTGTCTTCACATAGCGTATTAGTCCATTCTTGCAGTGCTATAAAGAAGTACCTCAGACTGGGTAATTTATAAAGAAAAGAGGCTTAATTGGCTCATGGTTCTGCAGACTGTACAGGAAGCATGATGATGGAATCTGCTCAGCTTCCAGGGAGGCCACAGGAAACTTAACAGTCATGCCAGAAGGTGAAGAGGGAATAGGCATGTCACATGGCCAGAGCAGGAGCAAGAGAACGTGAAGGGGGAAGTGCTACACACTTTTAAATGACCAAATATCATGAGAGCTCACTATTGTGAAGACAGTACCAAGGGGGATGGTGCTAAACCATTCATGAGAAACTTGCCTCCACTGGGTGGGGGGACCCAATCTCCCCCCACCATGCCTCCCCTCCAATACTGAAGATTACATTTTGACATGACATTTGGTTGGAGGCAACATCCAAACTGTATCACATGGCCTTCTTTCTGAATGCACACAGACAGAGACACGTTCCAGTATCTCTTCCTCTTCTGAAAAGTGCAACAGCTCTATCAGATTAGGGCTCCACCCTTATGACCTCATTTAAACTCTACCATCTGCTTATGACCCTATCTCCAAATACATTCACATTGGTTGTTAGGGTTTCACATATGATTCTGGGGGTGGGAGAAGGTACAAACATTTAGTCCTTAATACATGGGTTATCAAAAGGACTCCTTTTCAAATGTTATCTTTTTTATCATTAACAGAAATCACATGCCACTTCAGATTAAAATTATTATATTTTGGGCTGGTTTAAAATGTTAGCTTTTGGGGAATGAAAGACACTGGGGTCTACTTGAGGGTGGAGGGTGGGAGGAAGAAGAGAAGCACAAATAATAATTATTGGGTACTGGGCTTTTTGCATGGGTGATGAAATCAGCTGTACAACAAACCCCTGTGACACAAGTTCACCTATGTAACAAACCTTCACATGTACCCCCGAACCTAACATAAACCTTTAAAAAAATGAAATGAAATATCAGCTTTTTAGCCAACAAACATATGAAAAAATGCTCAGCATCACTAATCATTAGGGAAATCCAAATCAAAACCACAGTGGAATACCATCTCTCACCAGTCTGAATAGCTATTATTAAAAAGTCAAAAATAAAAGCTGTTGGTGAGGATGCAAAGTAAAGGGAATGCTTATACACTGTTGGTGGGTATGTAAATTAGTTCAGCCACTTTGGAAATTTCTCAAAGAACTATAAATAAAACTATCATTCAACCCAGCAATCATATTATTGGGTATATATCCTACAGAAAATAAATCATTCTGCCAAAAAGACACATGCACTCATATGTTGTTCACCGCAGCACAGCACTATTCACAACAAGAAAAATATGGAATCAACCTAGATGCCCATCAATGATGGATTAGATTAAGTAAATTTTGTACATGTACACCATGGAATACTATTCAGCCATAAAAAGAATGAAATCATGTACTTTACAGCAATATGGATGCAGCTGTAGTTATCCTAAATGAACTAACACAAAAGCAGAAAATCAAATACCACATCTTCTGACGTATAAGTGGAAACTAAACAATGGGTACATACAGACATAAAGATGGAGACAATAGACACTGGGGACCCCAAAAGGGGAGAAGAAGGGAGAATAGAAATGGTTGAAAAGCTATTTATTGTGTACTGTGTTTACTATTTGGTTGGTGGGTTCCATAGAAGCCCAAATCCCAGCATGATGCAATATATTTATGTAACAAACCTGCACATGTACCATCTGAATCTAAAATTTAAAAAAATTTTTTTGAAAAAATAAAAAATAAAATGTCAGCTTTTCAAAGAAGTCTCCTCTGCTGCCCGCTCAGGACTAATCCCTACCCCCTCCTTGCACCTACTGGAACCCTTCTCTCCAGTAGTACTTAATTCATTATCATATGTCTGTCTGTCTTAGGAAGAATGAAGATTTCTCTGAGTCAAAAGACATGTTTTTCTCTCAATTTTATATAACCATATTATTGAGGATTCTCAATATGATGTGGTAAAAACACGAATATATTTTCTTTTTTTGCCGTTAACACCTTTAGCCACATTCTGACAAATCATCCTTTCCAATTTCTTTGCAATATCTTAGGTAGATTTTATCATTTCTAGTCATTTTTCATTACTAAATGTACAACTTAAACTTTAATCTCAAAATTGATTGCAAACTCATCCATTCCCTCTTTTCCCAGCAGAAGTCTTGTGCTGTGATGCTGGCTTATCAGAAAAAAGGATCAGAGATGAGGCTGCATAGACTTAGCTATGAGATTTGTGCAGGCCAACCACATGAATTCACACAGGATATGCAATGCTCAACCCTAGGGAGCAAGATTCATATGGTATACCATGTTAACCACTCTCCCTATAGTTGTCCAGTGCACAATTTCCACAACCATATAAGAAAGCTCTGAATTACATATGCAAATCTTATATGCATAACTGTATAAGAAAGCCCTGTAGTCTTACATTTGCTCTTCCAAGTATAATTATTCCAGAGTTTAATAAAGATCCAAAAACAGTAGAGGAAATCAAAGTCTTCTTGTATAAATGGTTACCTTATAGAAAAGGGAAGCCATCTTTGATCTTATCTATGCTATAGACTGAATGTTTTTGTTCCCCCAAAGTTCTTAAATTAAAATTTAATCACCATCATGATGGTACTAGAAATGAGAGCTTTAGGAGGGCTCTGCCCTCATAAATAGGATGAGTGCTCTAATAAAAGCGACCCGAGGGAGCTCCCTGGGACCCTCAGCTATGTTGAGGACAAAGCAAGAATATGGCTGTCTGTGAACCAGGTAGCAGGCCCTCATCAGACACCAAATCTGCTGGTGCTTTAACCTAGGACATCCCAGCCTCCAGAAATGTGAGAAATTTATCTGTTGTTTATAAGCCACCCCATCTATGGTAGTTTGTTACGGCAGCCCAAATGGATTAATACACCCTGATTTTGTCTGTTTATCTTCTCCTGGTGATGTCTACAAATAATTACAACAATTACAAGTATAATTATAATAATGTATTAGATAATGTTTCTGGAAAACTCATCACCATATTTCATAAATTCTAATATATGTTCTTTCAGGCATCAACATTTCTGAAATAACGATGTGGTTTTCAATAAATGATATATCATGGTTTTATTGTAAGCATTTTTCCCTCTCTTAGTGGTACATAAACCCCATTGTCAATATTAGATGGATCAATGAGACAGAAAATTAACAAGGATATTCAGGAATTCAACTCAGCTCTGGACCAAGCAGACCTAAGAGACATCTACAGAACTCTTCATTTCAAATCAACAGAATATACATTCTTCTCAGCACCACATTGCACTTATTCTAAAATTGACCACATAATTGGAAGTAAAACACTCCTCAGCAAATGCAAAAGAACAGAAATCATAACAAACAGTCTCTCAGACCACAGTGCAATAAAATTAGAACTCAGGATTAAGAAACTCACTCAAAACAGCACAACTACATGGAAACTGAACAACCTGCTCCTGAATGACTACTGGGTAAATAACGCAATTTAGGCAGAAATAAACAAGTTACTTGAAACCAATGAGAACAAAGACACAAGGTACCAGAATCTCGGAAACACAGCTAAAGCAGTGTTTGGAGGGAAATTTATAGCACTAAATGCCCACAGGAGAAAGAGGAAAGTTCTAAAATCGACACATTAACATCACAATGAAAAGAACTAGAGAAGCAAGAGCAAACAAATTCAAAAGCTAACAGAAGACAACAAATAACTAAGATCAGAGCAGAACTGAAAGAGATAGAAACATGAAAAACCTTTCAAAAAAATCAATGGGCCGGGCGCGGTGGCTCACGCCTGTAATCCCAGCACTTTGGGAGGCCGAGGCGGGCGGATCACGAGGTCAGGAGATCGAGACCATCCCGGCTAAAACGGTGAAACCCCGTCTCTACTAAAAATACAAAAAATTAGCCGGGCGTAGTGGCGGGCGCCTGTAGTCCCAGCTACTTGGGAGGCTGAGGCAGGAGAATGGCGTGAACCCGGGAGGCGGAGCTTGCAGTGAGCCGAGATTGCGCCACTGCACTCCAGCCTGGGCGACAGAGCGAGACTCCGTCTCAAAAAAAAAAAAAAAAAAAAAAAATCAATGAATCCAGGAGCTGTTTGTTTGAAAATATCAACGAAATAGATAGACCTCTAGCCAGACTAATAAAGAAGACAAGAGAGAAGAATCAAATAGACACAATAAAAAATGATAAAGGGGATATTGCCACTGATCCCACAGAAATACAAGCTACCATTAGAGAATACTATAAACACCTCTATGCAAATAAACTAGAAAATCTAGAAGAAATGGATAAATTCCTGAACACATACACCCTCCCAAGACTAAACCAGGAAGAAGTCAAATCCCTGAATAGACCAATAACAAGTTCTAAAATTGAGGCAGTAATTAATAGCCTACCAACCAAAAAAAGTCTAGGACCAGACAGAGTCACAGCAGAATTCTACCAGAGGTAGAAAGAGCAGCCGGTACCATTTCTTCTGAAACTATTTCAAACAATAGAAAAACTCATTTTATGAGGCATGCATCATCCTGATACCAAAACCTGAGAGAGACACAACAAAAAAAGAAAATTTCAGGCCAATATCCCTGATGAACATCAATACAAAAATTCTCAATAAAATACTGGCAACCCAAATCTAGCAGCACATCAAAAAGCTTATCCACCACGATCAAGTTGGCTTTGTCCCTGGGATGCAAGGCTGGTTCAACATACGCAAATCAATAAATGTAATCCATCACATAAACAGAACCAATGACAAAAGCCACATGATTATCTCAATAGATGCAGAAAAGGCCTTTGATAAAATTCAACACCCCTTCATGCTAAAAACTTTCAATAAACTAGGTATTGATGGAACATATCTCAAAATAACAAGAGCTATTTATGACAAACCCATAGCCAATATCATACTGAATGGGCAAAAGCTGGAAGCATTCCCTTTGAAAACCAGCCCAAGACAGGGATGCCCTCTCTCACCACTCCTATTCAACATAGTATTGGAAGTTCTGGCCAGGACAATTAGGCAAGAGAAAGAAATAAAGGGTATTCAAATAGGAAGAGAGGAAGTAAAATTGTCTCTGTTTGCAGATGACATGATTGTATATTTAGAAAACCCCATCATCTCAGCCCAAAATCTCCTTAAGCTGATAGGCAACTTCAGCAAAATCTTAGGATACAAAATCAATGTGCAAAAATCACAAGAATTCAAATACACCAATAATAGACAGAGAGCCAAATCATGAGTGAATTCCCATTCACAATTGCTATAAAAAGAATAAAATACCTAGGAATACAACTTACAAGGGATGTGAAGGACCTCTTCAAGGAGGACTACAAACCACTGCTTAAGAAAATAAGAGAGGACACAAACAAATGGCAAAACATTCCATGCTCATGGATAGGAAGAATCAATATCATGAAAATGGCCATACTGCCCAAAGTAATTTATAGATTCAATGCTATCCGAATCAAGCTACCACTGACTTTCTTCAGAGTTAGAAAAAACTACTTTAAATTTCATATGGAACCAAAAAAGAGCCCATATAGCCAAGACAATCCTAAGCAAAAACAACAAAGCTGGAGGCATCACACTACCTGACTTCAAACTGTACTACAAGGCTACAGTAACCAAAACAGCATGGTACTGGTACCAAAACAGATACATAGACCAATGGAACCGAACAGAGGTCTCAGAAATAATGCCGCACATTTACCACCACCTGATCTTTGAAAAACTTGACAAAAACAAGCAATGGGGAAAGGATTCCCTATTTAATAAATGGTGTTGGAAAAACTGGCAGAAGGTTTCAAACTTCAAAAGCTAGCAGAAGACAAGAAATAACTAAGATCAGAGCAGAACTGAAGGACATAGAGACATGAAAAACCTTTCAAAAAAATCAATGAATCCAGGAGCTGGTTGTTTGAAAAGATCAACAAAATAGACCTCTAGCCAGACTAATAAAGAAAACTGAAACTGGACCCCTTCCTTACCCCTTATACAAAAATTAACTCATGATGGATTAAATAATTTAAACATAAGACCTAAAACCATAAAAACCCTAGAAGAAACCTAAGCAATACCATTCAGAGCATAGGCATGGGCAAAGACCTCATGACTAAAACACCAAAAGCAACGGCAACAAAAGCCAAAATTGACAGATGGGATCTGATTAAAGGAAAGAGCTTCTGCACAGCAAAAGAAACCATCATCAGAGTGAACAGGGAACCTACAGAATGGGTGAAAATTTTTGCAATCTATCCATCTGACAAAGGGCTAATATCCAGAATCTACAAAGAACTTAAACAAATTTACTAGAAAAAAACAAACAACCCCATCAAAAAGTGGGCAAAGAATATGAACAGACACTTCTCAAAACAAGACATTTATGCAGCCAGCAAACATGAAAAAAAGCTCATCATCACTGGTCATTAGAGAAATGCAAATCAAAACCACGATGAGATACCATCTCACACAGTTAGAATGGTGATCATTAAAAAGTCAGGAAACAACAGATGCTGGAAAGGATGTGGAGAAATAGGAACGCTTTTACACTGTTGATGGGAGTGTAAATTAGTTCAATCATTGCGGAAGACAGTGTGGTAATTCCTCAAGGATCTAGAACAAGAAATACCATTTGACCCAGCAATCCCATTACTGGATACATACCCAAAGGATTATAAATCATTCTACTATATAGACACTTCACACACATAAGTTTATTGCAGCACTGTTCACAATAGCAAAGACTTGAAACCAATCAAAATACCAATCAACAATGATAGACTGGATAAAGAAAATGTGACACATATACACCATGGAATACTACGCAGCCATAAAAAAGGATGGGTTCATGTCCCTTGCAGGAACATGGATGAAGCTGGAAACCATCATTCTCAGCAAACTAACACAAGAACAGAAAACCAAACACCACATGTTCTCATCATAAGTGGGAGTTGAACAATGAGAACACATGGACACAGGGAGGGGAACATCACACACTGGGGCCTGTCAGGGATTGGGGAGCTAGTGGGGGATAGCATTCGGAGAAATACCTAATGTAGATGATGGGTTGATGGGTGCAGCAAACCACCATGGCACGTGTATACCTATGTAACAAATCTGCACGTTCTGCACATGTATCCCAGAACTTAAAGTATAATAAAAAGAAAAAAAAACATGGGGGGAACTGCAATCTTTGTCCTCAGTGCAGACTCTATTCATAATTCTGGCACATAATTTGTGCTTCAAGTTAATGAGCAACTTGCCAGTATTTGAATGGTTTCAAGGTTTTCAACAGAAATTTAGGATCCTATATGATGTTGCTCCTACCTAACTGGAAAACCCTGCCTTCCTGCACATTTCCCAGTATATCTTGTCTCGGGGTCTTTGTTCATGCTATTCCTGTGTCTGGAATTCACTTTCCAAGCAATCCCTTTCTCCATATCTTAGCTAACGCCTCAGATCCCCAACAGGATTAACTCTCCCTGCTCAGAGCAACAACATTCAGTAACCAATCAATACTCTGTCACATTAGGTTTTTGTCAATCTGAAATATTGTGTAGCGGAGTCAAACCTCCCTTTTAAAGAACCTGCTGTGGGGAGTGTAGTTGACTGGCAGCCTACTGTTGCCACACTTTGGAATTTGATGTGATATTGATTTGGCTGTGATGCCATACTTCCTCTAAGCTGCTCTTAGCCACTGACTGAGCATGGTAGGAGAGATATGAGATTCAGGTCTTTAATGCTCCCAAACAGGACTTTTCTAATGGGCAACTTTTGCGTGGCAACTCCCAATCAGCCTAGCGAAATCCCACTCAAAGATGTGCCCTGTCTGAGGCTCTTCCTGCCTGAGGCTCTTCCTGCCCAATCTTTCTTCCTCTCCCTTCATAGTTGTTGTATCTGACTCACAGTCTGAATGTTTCTCCTGCCTTTTGCTTCCTCCCTTTTTACCTTTCGTTAGCATTTCCCGCAATAAATCTCTTGCACATCTAATTGTCTGATTCTCAGAGGACCCACACTGACTGCCTGGCAGAGTAGGAAGTGTTCAACAATCTGAAGATTGCATAGAGTTTTGTCTATAAAATACAATTAACTCCTGAGAAGAATAAGATGTATATCTGTTTTCAAATTTGACATTGATAACCACTCACTACCTTCTTCTTGAAGTCCCTCCCTCAACTTCTGAAACAACTGGGATCTGTAGAGAATTACGAGTAAGATTTCAGGGACTTCATGGACCTTCTGAAACTTACCCATTAAGAGCCTCTGGTCTGCAAGACAAGGTCAAAATTCTTAATGTGGCTTTTCAAACACCCAGTAAGCAGCCCCAGCCTACCTCTAGCCATACTGAAGTGCTTGGGTTTCCTGGGGATGCCAGGCTCTTTCTCATCCTCCTGCCTCTGCACTTGCTGTTCCCTAACCTGAAATTCCAACTTGTCTCCTTGCCCTTTTCCCTAACTCACACTGGCTATTGACCTGGAAAATCCCTACTCCTCTTCCAAGAGTCAGCTAAAACAACAGCACCACTTCAAAATCTTTTCCATGTCCCCAGCACAAGCACAAAACTTCTTTGTGCCACCTGCCCCCTTACTCTGTCCACAGCTCTGTGATAAATTTAAATGTATTTTTCTTATGTGGCTTCCAAAACAGTGGTCTCCTTGAAGGCAGGAGCTGTTGTACTTTTCTTGGCTTCCCAGCACCTAGTACAGGGCCTGTCCCACAGTGGACACTCAATAAGAGTGTTGTTCTTGCTGTTGTTGCTGTTGTTGTTACTTTCAATCTATGAATACCCACACTGAATGCTGCACCCAACCAGCTGTGTGACCTTATGGGCTCACAAAACAACTCTGAGCCTCAGTGTTTTCTTCCGTAAAGAAGGGATAATAATAATGATGACTTCTGGGAAGTGCTATCACAAAGATCATGAATACAAACACAATGGAGGCATTTCAGTCCTTGCTTACTGGCCCTTTCCAGTTCAGCACTGTTGATGATGCCCTCCTTCTGAACACTCTCTGTTCTCTATTCCTTTTGTATTTCTCTTACTTTATTTCATTATAGTCACCAAGTCACCCAAGTCAAAACCTGGGTGTGATCTTTGAGTCCGCCCTCCCCCTCATTCACTAGTTTCAATCAATTACCTATCAAGTCCTGTACCTTTTGCCATCTGAATAGTTCCTCTACTTTCCCACTGACTGTGGACTAGTTTAGGTCACCATCACCCCCTGGGGCTATTACAATATTATATCAACAAATAACTAGTCTCTCTGCATCTGACCCTCATGCCCTCCAATCCATTCTCTACACCAATGGCATAAATCTGACCATGTCACTCTGCCACTGAGAATACTTCATGACTTCCTGATGCCTAATAATGCATAACTTTTAATGAATGCTTGCTTGCTCCATGGCTAGCAATAAAAAAGTTGGGTAGGCATCATTATTATTCTATGATGTGAATGAGGAATTTGAAGCACAGGAAGGATAACAATGAGCAACTTGCCAATGTTTGAATGGTTTCAAGGTTCTCAATAGAAATTTAGGATCCTATATGACGTTGCTCCTACTTAACTGGAAAACCCTGCCTTCCTGCACATTTCTCAGTATATCTTGCCTCGGGGTCTTTGTTCATGCTATTCCTGTGCCTGGAATTCACTTTCCAAGCAATCCCTTTCTCCATATCTTAGCTAATGCCTCAGATCCCCAACATGATTAAATCTTCCTGCTCAGAGAAACAACATTCACATTACATATATTTGTCACGTATTTACCATGATACATAGAGATATAGATACAGATACAAATGTAAAGTTATGCACCTCTCTCTCCTGGCATAGACAGACTGATAATTATGGATGATAATAGCAGTACTTATAATGCTAACTGCCAATAACGATATATTAAAGAACTAAATGACACAACCTAGAAATGTGCATAAATTAACTCCCAAGAAGGTGAACTTTAACCAGTGAGATAAAGAAAGGAACCAAGCAAGTAAAATGTCTCTCCTTCTGTCCTCTCTGGGAGTGCTCTGAAATCTGGGCTCTTTGTACATCCTGCTGAGAAATGTTTCATGGGGCCAAGTGGACCCAACTGCTGAGAGATCTGAGGTCAATATTTATGGTGTTTGTGAAGCAACCGATGATGAGTAACACATCACCTTGCCTTGCTTCCCAACTTCCAGAATATGGAATATGTACTGAATCAAAAAAAACTATACATGGCACTGAATCTACAATAGCTACAGTGTATGGGTCAGGTATCAAGGGGTGAAAGTAAGTATGCCCACTCTCACATCCAGGGACCTACTTGCAAGATTGTGCTTCCTTCTCCCACAACTTTGTTCTTGAGTATAGGGTACACATCCACCAGAGAATTAAATAATGGTTCCACTAAACTGGAAACACTGTAATTATGACGTGCCTACTTTAAGCACATCTTTTCAGTGGAACTGTAGACAAAGAAAGACGTTACTATGTCATAAACGCAGCAGGGAAGAGTATATGTGGAACTCAGGCAATTCACTGAAGGGTCTTTTAATATTTCCATGCTGACTAATAATCATCAATGGGCAATGACAGTAACCACAAACCCCACCAGAGTTGGGCAAGTAAGGGCTTATTTCCATCAGCAATGAGGGTCTGTCTTATCCCAACAGGCAACTAACTGGACTAACTGAAATATTGGCCAATGGTGAGGGAAATCTAAAATGATAAAGGATGGAGATAATAAATGTCGTTCACGGCCTCAGCATCAGTTTCAGCAGCAGAAACTATACTTTGTTTCTGTAAGCTTCGTGGCTTAAGTCTTGCAGACAACAAATGACAAACAATCTAGAGGAGGATTCTACCAGTGATTGGACCTGTTCTTCCCTCTTTGGGAAGGAATAAGAACACCAAAAAAAAAAAATACTCGGGGGAGACCCCATATTGTAGTACAAGAGCCAGATATAAGAGGGCAAGGGGGGATTGGAATGGCCCAGGAGGGGAACAGATGGGACATCTTGGGTCAGATTTAGATTCCCTTGGCTTCACCCATCTCAGAGGCCTTTGGATATTTGTTTTGCATTGGCATTGTTGTATTGACACACTTAGTACAGGTCTGTGTGGTTCTACCAAATGAAGCTAAACATATACTTGCTCAGGAAAGCTGGACTCTCTTCTGTAACAGACACCACACAACCAGGCTGACCAGCCATGTGTCCAGTGTTTCTGTCTCTCCAGCCATTTCTGCCCTTAGATGAAATACCCTACCATAGAATTCAGGATCTAGTTTCCCAAAAGCCACCCAGGAAGACAAATAATGTACCTGGAAAGCGCAGAGGAATTGATATCTTTGGGGGCAAAGTTTGAATAGTAGGGAAAAGGAAAAGATTGGAGAGAGCCAAACAGATAAACTCCCTCTTCCTTCTTCTCAAGTACTGTTCTCTGGTGTGCTTTCTCTTTACAGCCTCTCCAGAGGCATTCTGCAAGGCCAAACAAGCACCTCCAACAAGCTATCTGCTGAATACATCACACTGCACTGCTTCCTATACTTCCCTGACTCAATTTCTTTTCCCCCATTTTTATTGCCCTATCTTTACAGCTCCCAGAGAGAGCATCAGCAGTTAATCTTGGCCCAGATGCTATTTTCTGGGGGACCATGGAAAAGGCAGATATAACAACAAGAACAACAATATGAAATTATTATTATTATTATAGCAAAACTTACTTTTATTGGGTCCTACTCTGTGCCAAGCACTGTTCTATACATTAACTCATGTACTCCATTAATAGCAGGAGTCATGGCTTATTAATCTTTGTAACCCCAGTACACAGCACATAACAGGGCAGATGGTAGGTAGTCTCAGAAAATGTTTGAGAAATAATACATGTCTCCATAACAGAGCTTTGAAGCTAGTCATTTGCAAGACCTCCATTTTAATTTAGCTGCATTTCTCAAAACCAGTCCTAGTGAGCACTTACCAGGCACCAGAAATTTCCACATATTTTGTCTCATTTAGTACCCAAAATTGTCTTGTAATATAACATTATAATATGTTCTATAGATGATAAAACTGAAACCAGTGGAGGTAGAATTGAATCTCAGAATGGACATTTACTTACCCTAAGTTAGAAAACAATATTAAATAAATTATTTAACAAGTCTGAGCCTTTTAAATGGTGATATTAACAAGAAATGCCCTACTTTCTTAAATGGCTATTGGCAGGGTGAAAAGTGAATTGTTCTACAGGTGCCAATTTCCAAATATTGATGAGGAAATTCAGGCTCAAAATATTAAAAGCCTTGCTGAGTGTCCTACAAATTTCATAGTACACACATGGGAATTTTCTCTGAATCGACTGCCAGAACAATTTATATTATACCTTATTGTGGATCTTGGGTAAAAGTAGAGAACAGATTTCAGATGTCCTCATTCTACCCATCTGTGTCCCCACAACACATTTCCAAAAACAGCAGGTAGGAGTACAGCAGGCAGGATTCCCTTTAGGGACTGCATACCATGACAACTTTCAAGAGACCGGAGCACAGGGGATTATCAGTTTGCCAATGTGAAAACAAAGCTTTCCTTATTAATAAGTCCTTGGCACTTGATAATTTTCCCAGGGCTTTAATTTCTGTTAATGGTTAGTTTGTAAGTTTAATAATATAACTTAGATAAAAGAAAAAGGTGCGTGTGCAGACAATGCGGCAATGTCTACTTTTAAAGCAAAACAATATTTGGGTTGTTGAGTAGAGTCAGAAAAGGAGCCAAGGATAATAGTGAACAGCAACAACAAATCCTGTCCACTTAGTAACTTCAGGGTTCAGGTTAGGGACACAATGTAGCATTCTATGTCAGAGATGTGGGAGCAGCACTTACGCACATGGCCAGACTCTTCACTTCTAAGCAATATGTTCTTCCCTGAGACTATCAGCGGTGGTTTAGCATGGGTTAAAGGAAGATGATCTTTTCTTTTTCTTTTTTCTTAACATTTTAATTAACATAAAATAATGATTATTTATATTTTTGAGGGTATAGTGTGATGTTTTGTACACATTGTGAAATGACTATATTAAGCTAATTAACATGTCTATCCTCTCACACACTTAATTTTTGGGGGAGAACATTTAAAATCTACTCTCAGCAATTTTCAAATATACATTATCATTAACTATAGCCACCATGCTGTACGTTAGATCTCCAAAACTTATTCCCCCTATCTAATGGAAACTCTGTATCCTTTGACAAGCACCTCCCCATTCCCCTGAGTCCCCATCTGCTGGTAACCACCATTCTACTTTCTGCTTCTGAGTTTGATTTTTTTAGATTTCACATATAAGTAAGATCATGCAGTATTTGTGTTTCTGTGCCTGGCTTATTTCACATAGCATAATGTTCTCCAGGTTCATTCATGTTGTTGCAAATGACAGAATATCTTCTTTTTTAAGGCTGAACAGTATTCTATTTTGCATATATACCACTTTTTAAATGTATTAATCTGTGGATGGACACTGATCTTGGCTATCGTGAATCATGCTGCAATGAACATGGACATGAAGTTATCTCTTTGGGATACTAATTTAATTTCCACTGGAAGCCCAAAAGTGGGCTTGCTGGATCATATGCTAACTCTATTTTCAATTGTTTGAGGAACCTCCATACTGTTTTCCTTAATGGTTGTACTAATTTACATTTCCACCGACAATGTGGAAGGTTCCTTTTTCTCCACATCCTTACCAATACTTGTTATCTTTCATCTTTTTTATAATAATTATCCTAACAGGTGTGAGATGATGTTTCATTGTGGTTTTGATTTGCATTTCCCTGATAATTAGCGATGTTCAGCATTTTTTCATATACCCACTGGCCTTTTGTATGTCTTCTTTTGAGAAATGTCTATTCAGATCATGTGCCCATTTTTAAACTTTGATCTGGTTATTTGTTTTATTGTCAATTTGTTGAATCCCTTATATATTTTGGATATTAACCCATTATCAAACGTATGATTTGCAATTTTTTTTTTTTTTTCTGAGACAGGTTCTGGCACTGTCACCCAGGCTGGAGTGCTGTGGCACGATCTTGGCTCATTGCAACCTCCACCTCCTGAACTCAAACAATCCTCCTGCCTCCGCCCCCCAAGTACCTGAGACTACAGGTGTGTGCCATCAAGCCCTGTTAATTTTTGTATTTTTTGTAGAAATGGGGTTTTGCCATGTTTCCCAGGCTGGTCTCAAACTCCTGAACTCAAGCAATTTACCTGCTTTGGCCTCCCAAAGTGCTGGGGTTACAGACATGAGCCACTGCTTCCGGCCAGGTTTGCAAATATTTTCTTCTAATTCATAGGTTGTCTCTTCACTGTGTTAATTGTTTTCTTTTCTGTGTAGATGCTTTGTTTTTGGTGCAATCCTCTTTGTCTATTTTTGCTTTTGCTGCCTTTGCTCTTGGGGTGATATTGAAAAGCCCTTGCCCAGACCAAAGGAATGAAGGTTTTCCCTTATGTTTTCTTTTAGTAGTGTTACAGTTTCAGGTCTTCCATTCAAGTCTTTAATCAATTGTGAGTTTATTTTTGCATATGGTATAAGAAAAGGGTCCAATTTCATTCTTCTGCAAGTGGATATCCTGTTTTCCCATCAGCGTTTATTGAAGAGACTAACTTTTCCCCATTACATGTTCTTGGGGAAATAATACATTATAACACCTTTGTAAAAAATCATGACTATATACATGTGGGTTTACTTCTGGGCTCCTTATTCTGTTTCATTTGTTGCTATGTCTGGTTTTATGCCAGTATCATGCTGTTTTGCTCACTGTAGCTTTGTAACATATTTTGAAATCAGGTAGTATGATGGCCACCAGATTTGTTGTTTTTGCTCAAGATGGCTTTGGCTAGTAGAGGATTTTTATGGTACCATGCAAATTTTAGGATTGGTTTTTTTTCTATTTCTGTTAAAAATATCATTGGATTTTTTTAATTGGAATTTTGATAGGGATTGCATTGAATCTATAGATTGCTTTGGATAGTATGGACATTTTAACAATATTAATTCTTCCAATCCATAAACATAAGATATCCTTCCATTTATTTGTATCTTCTTCAATTTCATTCATCACCATTCATTTTATAGCTTTTAGTATATAGACCTTTAACCTCCTTAGTTAAATTTATTTATAGGTATATTTTGATGCTATTATAAATGGGATTATTTTCTTAATTTCTTTTTAAGATGCTTCGTTTTTACTGTACAGGAATGCTACCGGTTTTGTATGTTGATTTTGTGTCCTACAACTTTACTGAATTTGTTTATTAGTTTTATCAGGTTTTTTTGGTGGAGGGTTTTCTATATATAAGGGTTTTCTATATATAAGATCATGTTGCCGGCAAAGACCATTTAACTTCTTCCTTTTTTATTTAAATGCCTTTTATTTATTTTTATTACCTAATTGCTCTGGCTAAGAAAAATGTGCTCTTGAAGCATAACATTTAGAATGTATCTGTGGTCACAGAGTGGGATCTTGGCATGTCTCGTCAATAAATGGTGTTGAGAGGAAACTGGAATTCAAGAAGTCCTCTGTAATTTTTGCAGTCCTATGCAATTGCAGAGCTAGAATTCGTAAAAGCTATAGTAACTTGAGCAAAACCACAGAGGTTAGGTTTTCCATATTTTGTTAGGCCCCATTTAGCTAAAGCATATGGTATGGGAGGTATGCCTGGAAATGTCGCTTTTGGTAAAATTGCAAGAGGACTTTGAATGCTTTGTGGGCATTTGTGAATGTTCAGGAGGCTATGAGAAATTAATTAAGATTCTTGACAAATGAAATAACATGACTTGAAATTTACTTCAGAAAAATTAATCCTGCCACACTGTGTAGGTTGAATTGGAGTAAAAAAAAATGCAAATAAATGGGACAAGCAATTAAAAAGATGATTATAGTAGCTCAGAAAAAGAAGAAATGAGACGTCCCAGGGATTTATTTATTCTCAGTTCTCAGACTGTGTTATGGAACTTTCAAGTTGCCAGGTAAGAGCCTTCCAAATAAAAAAGTAGGTGTCCTTGTCATTCCCAGGAATTCTCATGGTAAAAGGAAAAGACAAGTAATTCTAGATAAAGACATTTCTGGGGAGAGGAAAGAGAACTCTAGCTCTCTGGGGCAGAGGCTGCTGAATACAATCTCATAAACATTTCCCCCTTCTCTCATTGTAATAGAAGCCTCAATTATTTGAGACAGCAATGAACCTAGCTAAAAGACTGCGTTTCCTATCCTCCTTGCACCTGACTGTGGTAAAATGAAAAAGATCTAAGTAATGAAAAGTGGTAGAAATAGCAGAAAAGCTGCTAAAGGAAACCGACTTGACTGGAAACTGGGCCCTTTTGTCCTATCCTCCTCCTTCCTGTTGCCAGCCTGGAACAATGATGTAATGTTCCAACTGCCATCTTGGACAATGAGGTGACCTTGAGAATGAAAGCAATATACTGATGGTGGTAAAGCAGAAAATGGCCCTGAACATCTTTTGCATGAGGGGCAAACTCCTCTCTTGTTTGAGTCACTATTGATTGTTTGGTGTTTCCTATGAATATTATACACAGCTAAACCTAGTCTTAAGTAATACATCCACTTTGCAAACGTAAACTTTGGGAGCCTGGGACTTAGAGTTAGACTTGACTCTCTTAAAGTAATTATTAATTTATTAAAATAAAGAATCCCAGAGATAGTAACTACTATAATCGCTCACTTCCTACAGGGGTCCAGCTATTAAATCTACTCTGTATAGCCTCCATCCAGATGGCATTATTTTCAATTGTTTCCTAAAATTCTGCACAACGTGCATCTTCCTTTTCATCCCTACCACCATTGCCTTAATTCAGTCTCTCTTATTTTCTGTGCCTATTGACAGAAGCCTCCTCACTTGTTTCCCTGTCTCTAGTTTTATCCAGCCCTCACTCCACCCACATTGCCTACCTGTCTTCCACACTGACAACAAAATGCCATGTCCAAACCCAAAGCCAATTACATCATTTCTTACTTAAAACCTTTGTATGGCTCCAGATAACCTGGCACTGAATTTTTTTGTTTCAACTTTATCTCCCCATGATCTACTCCACATACTCCATTTCCCGTTTGCATCTCTTCTTAAACTCCTGAAGTCACACTGCCTCATGCCTCCTGTCTTTTCACTGGAATGCTCTTCCATCTCTTACCCACCTGGCTTGCCTTTGTTCATATTTAAAGACTGTGGAGGGTATCTAAGGCAGGAGTTCTCAAATGTTTTGGTCTCAGAGTCAGAGTCTACTCTTAAATATTATTGGGGACTGCAAGATGACTTGCTCATGTTATTTATATCTATTAATATTTACCGTGTAGAAATTTAAAATGAGAACAATTTTTACTATTTACATGAAATTCATTTTCAAATAACAGTAATATGTGCTAAAATATATAAAAATTTTTCATTTAAAAATATATTTTCAAAAAATTCATGAAAAACTGGCATTGCTTTACATTTTTGCAAATTTCTCTAACGTTTGGTTTCATAGGATACAGATTTTAATATCTGCATCTACATTCAATCTGTATTGCTATGTTGGTTTGGTTGAAGTATATGAAGAAAATTTGGAATAATCTGTGGGTATTAATTCAATCTGCACAAAAATTCAACAAGTGATAACCTCTTATTAGCTGCAATATGGAGTCTGAAACTATACTGATGAACTTTTTGTATTGTGTTACATTAAAACCCATTGGTCAACCTTAAATGAGCCTTTTATTTATGTGTGATCTCTATAGCATCATGTGTGGGTCATTTGAAAAACACCCATTTACTGAGCCATGTAGATCATCCAAAAATTGATACATTGACCACACAATATCAAAAAAATTACATTTTTCACTGTCACCACAAATCTTTTCAGTAAAGGCTTTAAGTATTAGGAAACCATCAAATTCCCAGTGGCAGATTCCAAAATTATGATTTTTGTGTGAAAGCTCAAATTTTATCATGGCCAACAAATAGTGTTAGTTGTTTTCCTTAAATTAATATACTTTCTTTAGGAATATGTCTGCCTAACACCCAGATCTGAACAGCCATAGTTTTTCTATGTCATTCTTCCAAATAAAAAGATTTTTCTGTGAAAAAAGGCAGCTAGTTCAGCTTGCAACTAAATTACACAACTACTTTTCTTCAAGGCAGCCTTTGTACTTTAGTATGAGCAAAAAACCTTCATGGCACAACTACTTTGCCCCACAGATGTTAAAAAGGTGTTATACAGGGTTGACATTTAATAAAAGTAATATTTTTTACTGATTATTCGAGAGAATTCTTAAAGAGAACTGGCATTGTTTACTGTGAGTACACGGTGTTAAAGAATACAATGACTACTTACATAATTTGGTACTGCTTATCATGCTCTGGCACCTGTAGTTTTACTTACCATTGTTTTTGCACCATCAATACAAATGGTAACAGAGTGAAAAAAAGAAAATAATAGCTTAGGTTTATTAAGAAAAGTGTTTTGACCTCATGAACCCCCTAAAATGGCCTTGAGATCTTCAGGGGCTCAGGGACTATACCTTGAGAACCACTTGTCTGTGAGTCTAATCGTCCCCTCTTTGAGGAGTTGCCACCTTTCCACTCCTTTGATGAAGCTCCTGTGGAAGCTGCCCATTTCTAAGTAAGCCTGCCCCACCGCTACTTCTGACTGATTGGTCTCAGAGAGACCCAGTGAATCCTTTCCCCAGGAAATTTGGCCTTAGAACTTTGAAAAGTGGACAGTTCATCGAAGCAGCCTCTTTTAGTGTCTGAGGCTATGAGATATAAAGCTTTAGAAGTGTCAGTGACAATACCTCCTGTCAAAGTGACCAAGAGACAGAGGAGACCATCTGCACTGAGTGAAACAGAGATGAGAAATGGAGAGAAATCAAATGTTAATGTTCAAATAAATGGACCCAGATTTTCCTTAGGTCCAGCCATGTTGCCATTCTTGATGTTAATACCCCAGAATCTCTACAATAAAAGCCCCTCTTTATATATTGTTTATATAAATTTATATATTGTTTACATAAATTTTCTGTTACTTAAAATTAAAAGCATCTGGCAAAAAAAATCGGCTCAAGAGACTCCTCATCTGTGAAGACTCCTTGACGCCATCCTCTAAGCAGAATTGATAATGTCAAATCAATTGGTTTGCCAAAATTAAAGCTAGCCCTCATCTTTAGTGTAGCACCTGCCTCACTGTAATCTCACTGTACTGTAATGGTTTCTCACTAGAATGTTCCCCCAATACACCGCAAGCTCCAAGAAAGCAGTAAAAGTATAGGACTTTTTAAAAACTCAAATCTTAGCAAATTAAATATATAAACGGATAAGTAGGGAAAACGAGACAGAGAAAGAAGGAAGGAATAAAAAGAGCACATTCACACAGACATAAAATCTTGTTATATTCCTTCCTGGCTGAGTCATTTTGGCTTTCTGAACCTGCACCAACCCACTTGCAAAATACCTAGGCCCCTAGGCTGAAGCTGAAATTCAGACACTTAAATGACTTCACTAAGTAAAATTTTCCTAAGTTATGGAACTTTATCCTTGCTGGCTCAGTTTGAAACACTGATGTTACGGAAACTATATTTTTGGTCATTCCTCTAGGAATCATGAAAATTGTGACATTTATAAAACTTTGTATTTATAAACAAAACTGTATAAATTGGAGGCATCCAACTAGACCCCACCCATCTTCCCCATTTAACTACTTAGTCAAGAAACTTGAAAATTAAGTCCCACAAACCACAAATATAATAACCAAATATAAATGTTATAACTCTTTGACAATCTTTTAATATTCATTTCCTCATCTGTAAAACAGGGAAAAATATCCGACAGAGTTGACATAAAGGTTAAATGAGACAGTGTCTTTCTAGCAATGTACTAGCATGGGGTAAGCTAAGTCGATTATTTTACAAGCTTTTTCTTCTCTCTCAGAAACATTATGTACTTTAGGCTTCCTCTCAGGAAGTTCGGATTGAAATAACATTTATAGATGAGCTAAGTCAGAGGATTGGCCTAAATTCACATAGCTTAGTAACTGCCACTGCCGGGGGCCCAACGCGGGCTTCCTGACTCCACATCCTGCTCGTCCATTACACCTGTGGTCTCTCACCTTCAGGCAAAGAGTGCTAAGATTTCAGTTCAAGTATTTTATTCTACTTTTGGGTATTTAAGCAAATGAATTTTGTAAAGAATTGAGAAAGAACTGAAAATAACAGTGAACATTTGAAGGCATTATAAGATGTGTAAAAGTAATGACAAGCAAATTTGAAATAACAAGACATGAATTTTGGTTGGTGACTGCCCTGACGCCAGCTTGGCGAGTTGGGTAAGTCAGTTAAGCAAAAGGCACAGCAATTATGTTATGTGCAAAGCGGAATTTTTTTCTTGTCCTACAGGAAGAGGGAATGAATTCATTTTCTGAGCACCTATGTTCAGGCACTTCACAAGCATTATATTAATTAATTCTTATAACAGTCCTGCTCCGTGTGTATTATTATCCCTATTTTTTCTGACAAGAAATCTGGGGTCTAATAATTTAATTTGTCCAGGCTCACAGAATTAGTACCTGCGATTCCCACTACCCTAGACTGTTCTACCTGCCTTAAAAGATCACTGTGAGATAAAATGAAATAAGAGATGAGAACAAACATGTCACACTGTCCAAAATGTGGTACTACTGGTGAATAGTCCTCAGCTGCGAAGTCAGTAAACTTGACTTTAAAGTTCTTACCTCTCCACTTACTATTAATAAGTGTACAGGTTTGTCAACATCACTTCACTTCTCTGAACCTCAGTTTTCTCAACAATAAATGGGGCACAAGATTACAGGCATCGATGCCTGCCTTACAGACTGTTAGGAGACTCCAGCAAGACAGCAATTGTAAAAACCCTTTGTGCTCTGTAGAGCCCTATACAAATGTGTGCTATTATTATTATTGCTATTACCATTATTATTACACCATGTTCTTTGGGCAAGACATTTATGTTAAACTGACACAGCACATAATTGGAGTGCTCAAGTTAAATAAATGAAGTCAGCTGTCTGACTCCTTTAAGATAAATGATGTTATTATAACATAATTGTATAACCCCATATAGCTTACAGCAGCAAAAGGATGTGTATTTCACATGCCCTCCTATAATTACATCCCCATTATAATTTTGCAGTTAGTTGCGATGAGCTCTGGTCATGAAAACATGCCAATTTTGTATGGGATTGAAGTCTGCCTAATTTTAGCAAATTGAGAGTCACACAAAAGAAAAGAGATAAATACTATGTTGTTATTTTTCATTAGAGAATTGCTATATTAAGAGGCTGCGATCCAGCTGTGTTTGTTTAAATAAAAGTGTGATTTGAATACCTCCTACAGCTAATGTTCCTGCCAATGAATAAAAGATAAAAATGCGGCTCTCGTTGGATGGGAGTCTCTGCGTTCTAGCTGACTCGGAGATTTATTGTTCCACATAAGGAAGTTGAAAGCGTGGAGGGCAGACCACACGCAGCGGCCTTTTGTGTATTGTTTCAAGCCGTATCACTAATAGATTTCTTCCACCGAGGCTCCCAGCAATTCAGCTGTGCTCAAATGCTCCACTTAACTGTGAAAAAAAATAATAATAAAATAGTAATTATGCCTAAATGGCAAATGCAGCCCAGCTCAATGCCACAAGGAAGAAAGTAAACAGGAACAAATACTATTCAGAGAAGAAATGCTGTATTTTAATGCTGGTGATAATGGATTTAAGCCTCATTTTTCTTTCAAAGACTCCTCTCACTCATATCCCAGTGCCTCTCTTTCCCCTGTGTCTCCCCTAAAAACTAGCAATATTCTCCTGACATTCATTCTCCTCAAGCCAGCCACCTCAGAATGAAAGAAATGTGATATCCAGGCTATAGTGCAATTCCAAAGCGTGTGGAGTGATATTCTAGGAGCTTGGCATACCAGGATATAAGCAGGGTTAAAATCTCCACCCTCAAGCAGATCACAGTCTAATGATGGATGTAAGATATGCGTTCCCCATTCTCCAAACTGCTATCTTTTTGAAAAATGTCATTATCTCACTGCTTGCTCTTGACCACTCAATTCCTGCCAAATTCCACTTTTCATCTTAAAGTAGCCATAGCAGACTTCTTATAGACACACACACACACATACACACACGTGCGTGGACACACAGCATGCTATCTCTTACCTCAGGCCTTTGCAAGCACTGCCTACCTTCTCTACTGACTTTTCTTCCCTCCCTTACCCATGTAGCAGACTCCTACTCATTTTCATGATTCAATTCAAACACTGTTTCCCAGAAATCTTCCCTGCTCCACCCACGGGTGCTCCAAATGTGGGATGAGCAGACCTCCTCTCTGTTGCAAAGACGCACTGCATAATCTGTCTTGCTGATCCTCAGCTCAGGAGGCTGGAGTGGGCTGGAGAGACATGCATCATGTGTTTCCCAACCCCATTCTGGAGCACAGGGAGCATATTTCTTCCTTTCTCTCTTTTATCTCCCCACCAATCTTTATCATCCACCAGAATCACAGCCATCATGAGCAACTGTCACTGATAGGAGTGCATTTTCAGATGAGTTAGAGCTGGAATAAGGAGACCTATAGTTGACTGAAATGTTCTGTTTGTTTCTCTGTCTCCCCATTAAGCCTCTGAGGGTGGAAACTGTATCATTTCACCCCTACAACTTCAGGGCCCCTAACACTGACTAGAAATTTATAGATGTGTAGTATGATGGATGGATGGATGGGTGAATGGATGGATGGATGGGTGAATAGATGAATGGATAATAAAACATAATTTAGGAAAGGAGACTGGTGACATACGAAAAGTGAAAACAACTGCAATGAGAGCCAAAATGAGGGACAGTTCATTTACAGAGGGAAAATAATGAAGGATCCCTACAGAAAGAGTGACCGCAGAGGTAAGACTTAAAAGATCTTGTGATTAGGAACAAAGCATCCCAGGCAGAGGGTACAATGAAAGTAACGACTGAACAAACACACAAGAACCTACACTATCCAAAGGGTCCAGTTACTTTAGAAATCAACACTTAATTTTTTCCAGTAATAACCAACCTCTGAGAACTTAAGAAACAATCTTCAAGACCTACCTGCATAGATAATGAAAAAAAAATCAGTTTCAGATGGTTTTGTTTCACTGTTTTTGTAAAACCCAACTCTGGCTAACTAGCTTGATTTTCCACCTTTCTGTTCTTTCAAAGGCTGAATACATATGATTCACATCTACAGTATGTGCTCAGTATACTGAATGAAGTGACTGAACTAATAAACTCAAAATTACCATCACTGGAGACAATAAAAGTGTCACATCACTTCATCAGAGTCACCACTTCATGGTGAAGAAGAATTGCTTGGTTTGAGGTTGGGGGAGAAGTCCCCCTTATTGACTGCTTAATTCTGTGCACATTATTTAATCTTGCTGAGCTTCCATTTCCTCTTCTACAAATGACATTAAAAACAGTTGCATCTAAGGCTATTGTTGAAATCAAATGAGACAACTATTAGGTTAAACCACATGAAATTGCCATTTGATAGGTGAAAGAGCAGCAATTTTATGTGGTTCAATCTAATGGAACAGTGATTAGAATATGATAAATGCTCAATTTATGTTAACAATAAATCTTTATTGTGTATACATGATAAATACTAGTTTAAACCCTATTTATATCATTTAGAAGCAGTTAATCAATAAGTCACTTATTGTTCTAACTGAATAATAAGTCCCTGCAAATACCCAACTATGTGTTATGGGAACAGTTTAGAAAACATTGTATCCTATTCATTTCTTAACTTTTTCTGTTGGCATCTGTCAAGGATATTGAAAAGGTATATTCATGTTCAAAAGCCTTCTTTAATTTTCATCACCAGTTCACTAGTAACTTATTGTTCATCTGTAAAATGAAGTTGATGATATTTGCCTTATAGGTATACTGTAAGGGTAAAAAGAAATTCAAATTTCCAATGCAAAGAAGGTACTCAACAAATAGAATCCTGTATGATTGCAAAAGACCAAGATCTATAAAAAGAGTAAAGTATTTCACACACACAAAAAAATGACAGGGAGAAAGTTTATTCAAGAGCAGGTTACAGCCATAGGTATTCTGGCCTCGTGTTAAAGTATTTTTTTAATTGAAATCCTATGACCTTGCATGTAATTCTAAGGAACTGGTGTGTTGGGGCTGACTTAGTTAAGGCCAACTGGAGGCCTGAGTGGCTGCTTACCAGAAGCCATTGAGTCTTGAAGGCCCAGGAATGTCAGGGAGTCTAGTTTATACTGTCTGAGTCAATTTAAATAACCAGAATGCCTAAAGTCTTAAAAAATCTATTCAAACAGTAACTTTCATGACCAAATTAAAAGTACATGTTTTTTCTCTAAGGATATGGCATAGGGATCAAAACTAGATATGAAACTACTCAGAAGGATCTGATTAATAGCAGAGGTTTCTGACCTAGAAGTACATGAAGAATGTGTTCATTTTTACCATCAGAAATGTTTATTATCCTTATCAGCAATAATAATAAACTAAGTTACAACAACACACTAAGGTGCTTTGCAGACATGGTTTTTATCAAGTGAAAAATACTAATATCCATCCAATTAAGCAATTCATTTTGGTTACATTTTGGAATATCTGAAAGCTAGTATGTGGGGATTGCAAGAGGATACTGTCGGGAATGTTCACAGGGTGTACACAGGGGCATGCTATAACAATGTTCAGAATGCACACTTGGGGACATTAGTCTCACACACTAAATTTGGAGGGCACATCCTAATGTGATGCTGAAAATAATCACCGAATCTCAAAACGCTTCTTCACTTCGAAGAATTTAGACTAGGAATGACGTGAGATATCCTAAGGGAATTTCTTGGAGATTATCCTTTCCAGAAAGGGTTGGGGGGGGAATCAAAGCAAAAGAAAGAAGGCATTCTAAACTACAGTGTGAGGCATGCAAATGGGAAGAGGGAAGAGGGTTCTCTCTCAAAACTAGCACTGGGATGTCATGCAGGTTTGGCACCAAGAGACAATACGGGGTGACGACTGACAGTGCAGGCTCTTGGGGTCATCTTAGTCGTGTCCACTGCCAGTTCCGCCACTCTGAGACCTTGGACAAATGATCTTACCGCTCTGAGCTTTCGTTTTTTCATCTGCTGAGGAGGCTAGTAATCTCTGCCTGGTAGGAAGTAAGCAGCACAGAGCCTCAGAGAGTCTTTGGGCAATACGTGGGGCTAGCGGGGGCCTTCAGTTTGCTCCACCCCTCAAGGAAGACTTTCAGTTGGAAAGGAACAAATGTCAGGACCCTTCCAAGGTGTCAGGTACCCAGGTTCCTTTCCAGTGGAGCTCCATGGTTCCAAAGAGAAAGGGAAGGAACGCTACATGGGTAGATTCTTGAGATTTTGAGCATGGGAGCAGGCTGAGCTCGGAGGAGATGAATTTGATCTGGGAGTGATGGTCAGCTTGGAAAGCTCCCAGCCCCTGGCCTGGCCTGGCTGAGGCTGTGGCACTGAGCAGACTAATCAGCTCCAGGCTGTGGTGTGATTGCTGCAATACTGGGGGAAATGATAGATTTTCTCCTATCGGAGTCTGAAATCAATTTAGCATGAGATTTTGGTCATCTGAGAAAGAGTCCAAATGAGAACCAGGAAAAGTTGAACATGAACATATCTTTTCAATATCCTTGACAGATGCCAACAGAGAAAGTTAAGAAATGAATAGGATATAATGTTTTCTAAACTTCCCAGAACACACAGTTGAGGTATTCACAGGGATTCTACCAAAAAAAAAAAAAAAAAAAAGTGTTCTGTGGTCACATAAGTCTGGAAACTGCTATACGCTGTATTTATATTCATCTAATACATGTAATTATATTCATATGATGCATATATTAATTATATTCATCTAATATTTCCCATTAGTAAATCAAATGCTCTGAGAAAGTCTGTAATAAAAAGGTTTTTATTTTGTTCAATCTTGTGTTTAACCCCTGTGTTCGAGTGTGGTTTTATTTTGCTTTCTTTTTAGAACGCAATACCTATGAACACCTCTCAAAACACCAGTGCTCTTATGAAGTCAAGTTGAGAAGGATAGAGACTAAAAAATGATCATGTTAATTAACTATTTCTATGTGCGTCTTCCAGGGTTCTAACTAATCCCTCCCAATGTGAAGATGACTCCCATGAGGCACCCTTCTCATTTTCTTCACCAGGAAGACTTACCTCTTGGAAGCCTTCTTTGAATTAGTTTTCACCACCAGTTCAAGTTAGGAGGCTTCCCCTGTACTCTCAGAGCCCTCAGGTTTAGTACATGTGACAACATATTCAAATCTTTTAGAGTCTGTTGTCCCTATTAAGCTGTGAATTCCTTAATGACACACTTGTGTCTGAGATCCCAGCAACTATTCAAATACCCACCAAACATCTTTCACATGATTGTTACAACTTTGCTAAGCTAAACTTCAAAGGTTGGGCAAAAATCTCTATGCTCAGTGTGAAAGGTCCAAAGGTAATTGCTTATTCCCATGTTGGCTGCCTGCACAGAATTAGAGAATCTTACAAGAAAAGGAACCTGGAAACTTAGCTTACTTAGCTTGTTGCCTTCCAATTGAGAGACTCATCCATGCTGTATTAACAGCCAACAAGAAATTTCATTCCGTTAGGTTGGTGCAAAAGTAATTGCTGTTTTTGCCATTAAAGATTTTATCTCGACATTAGGTTCGGGATATATCCAGGCTACTTCATTTCCACCACCTGTGTTCTGGTTCCAGCATTTAATACCTATCACGAGTGACATTACATAGGAATCTACACTGTTCTTTCTTCCTTCATCCACCTTACACAAGATTTGTTACTTTCCTTATCAACAATGGGTACCACTTCTATTGCAAATCATGCAACGTATTTTCACCTTGTAATATTATATAATATTTCCTGCTCCCCAAAAATTACTTCATAGAACCTCATGCCAGCAAATAAATTCCAAAATCTCATATCCTATAATTCAGCATCATCTAAAAACTGGTCCATATTTTATATTGGTTGCAAAACTGATGTTGATAGTTTTGGTGTTTATGTTATTAAATCTTCTTTGTCTAAGGACTCAAATAATAAATTTTAGCATAATTTAGTTTCTGAATGTATTTGCTTTATTAGATAGCAATCTAATGTGCTTTGATTTTTTACTAAGCTGCTAAACAAATTCAAATATATTGCACAGGTGTTATATTTGTTGAGCTCAGATATCCAGAAGTATCAATTTCTGCTACTTCACTCAAACATATTCAGTTCTGAAATATCCCTAAATGTCTATCTTAACTGTATCTTTACTAATCAATTTTACTGATATGTAATTTATATATAATAATATGCATCCATAAGTGTACAGTTTGATGAGGTTTGACATATGTATACCTCAGATAGCCATTGTAGTAATGAAGAAATATAATGTATCCCTCAAAAATGTGCCCTCATTCCTTTTAATAGTCAATTCCACCCTCCCTTTGTCTTTGGCAACTACTGATCTTATTTCTACCACTATAGATTAATTTGACTTTTCTGGAATTTTGTGTAAATGAAATATTCGACATATACTCTTTTGTGTCTGGCTTTTTTCACTTAGAATAATATTTTTGAGATTCATTCATATAATGCACTTAAAAGTATTTCATCCTTTTATTAATAATTGCTGGGTAGTGTTCCATTGTGTGACTATGTCAAAAAATTGTTTATTCCAGCCAGGCGCGGTGGCTCACACCTGTAATCCCAGCACTTTGGGAGGCTGAGGCAGGCAGATCACAAGGTCAGGGGATCGAGACCATCCTGGCTAACACGGTGAAACCCCGTCTCTACTAAAAATACAAAAAATCAGCCAGGTGTGGTGGCGGGCACCTGTAGTCCCAGCTAGTTGGGAGGCTGGGGCAGGAGAATGGCGTGAACCCGGGAGGCGGAGCTTGCAGTGAGCTGAGATTGCGCCACTGCACTCCAACCTGGGCGACAGAGCAAGACACTGTCTCAGAAAACAAAAAAAATGTTTATTCAGTGAATATATCAAAAAATTGTTTATTCAATCTCGCATTGAAGGGAATTTGGGTTGTTTCTACCTGGGAACAATTATCATTAGACCTGCAATGAACATTTCCTTACACAATGTGTGAGGACATGTGTTTTCATTTTTTTATTTCTTTTGGTTAAATAATTGGAAGTGGAAATGCTGGGATCTGTGGTTAGTACATGTTCAATTTCATAAGAAGCTGCCAAACTGTTTTTCAAAGTAGTTGTTACTTTTTACATATATATCAGCAATGTATAAGATATTCAGTTCCAAATTCTTACCAACACATGGTTTTGCAGTCTTTTAAATGTTAGGCATTCTAATGAATATGTAGTAGTATCTTGTTTTGATTTTAAATTGTATTTTCCTGGTGATTAATGATGTTGATCATCTTTGTTTATTCTTGTTGGCATTTATATATCTTTCTTGATGAACGCTTCATGTACACTTAAAACTTTTGCCTATTTTTGAGTTGTCTGTCTCTCTATTATTGTAGAAGTTCATTATGTGTTTTGCATGCAAGTCCTTTACTGGACATATTTATTATTAATACTTTTCCCAACTTTTACTTGCCTTTTCATTTTCTTAGGTGTCTTCAAAGAGCACTGGTTTTTAATTTTGATAAAGATTATGTCTTTTTTCTTTTATGGTTTTAAACTTTTTGAGTCCTAATTTAAAAATATTTTCCACCTCAAATTTGCAAAAATGTCTTCTACATTTTCTTCTGGAAGTTTTAAAGTTTTAACTGCTACATTTAGGTCTATGGTCTACTTTCAGTTAATTTTTGTGTAGTGTGTTAGGTAAGAGTCAAAGCTGTTGTTTCTCCCACAACATCCTCCAGCAGGTTTTGCAGAAATGACTCTCATTTCTCCAATTGATTGCTTTACAACTTTTGTTACAAATGAATTAATATAAAGGGTACATCTATTCCTGGACTCTCTACTCTGTTTCACTGATGTAATTGCTCTCCTTACAAGAATATCACACTGTCTAGATCACTGAAGCTTCATAATTAGTCTTGACATAAGGATTGTGTATCTTCCAACATTTTTTTTTCAAAATTGTTTTGGCTGTTCTAGGCCCCTTTGTATTTTCTTGTAAATACTAGAATCTTATTATCAATTTCTCTATTTTAAAAAGCCTGATGATATTTTGGTCAGTATTAAGTTGAATCTCTAGATCATTTTTGAGAGAAATGGCTTCTTATAAAACTTTAAAGATGCTGTTTTCCTGTCTTCTCACTTGCAGTGTCTCTAATGAGCAATATGCTGTCATCTTTAACTTTTTTCCTCTATATATATGTTTTTTATCTGATTGCTTTAAATGTTTCTCTTTATCACTGGTTTTGAGCAATTTGATTATAATATATCTTGGAGTAATTTTCTTCATATTTTTTGTACTTGATATCCATCGATCTTCTTGATTCTGTGTGTTTATAATATTCATCAAATTGAAACCATTTTGGTGATTATATCTTCAAATATAATCAAATGCAATCATATTTTGTCTGTCCTTCTCCTCTGTTAGTCTTCAAGGACTCCAACTATATCTATGTTAGGCTACTTGCAGTTGTTCCATGCTTATTTTTTTTTTCATTTTTAAAAACTATTTTTTCTCCCTATGTTTCATTTTTTCTAGCTTCTATTGCTACATCTTCAAGTTCACTAACCTTTTGTTCTGCAATGTCTCATCTACCATTAATCCTCTCAAATGTATTTTTCATATCACACATTATAGTTTGCATCTCTAATAGTTTGATTTGGGCTTTTTTATTTCTTCCATGTCTCTGCTTAACATTTTGAATGTATGAAATATATTTAAAACTGTATTAATACATTTGCCTGCTAATTCTACACCTTTGTTAATTCTAGGTCATATCAACTGATTGATTTTCTTTGCGTCATTATGGGCCATCTTTTTCTTGTTCATTTCATGCCTGATATTTTAAAATTTAAAACCAAATATTGTGAATTTTACCTTGTTTTGTGTTGGATATTTTTTGTATTTCTATCAACAATCATGAGTTTTCTTCTTGGATGCAGTTACAGTCATTGGAAACAATTTGATCCTTTCAGACCTGGCCTTTGAGATTTGTTAGGTGGGATTGGAACAGTGCTCAGGATGGGGCTGTTCATTCCCCACCACTGAGTCAAATTCTTTGGATAATTTACCTAATTTCCAGTGAATCATGAGATTTTTCCAGTCTGACTGGCAGAAATAGTCACTTTCTTCAGTCCTATGTGAGTGCAAGGCACTATTCCTTCTATCCTTTTGGGTATAGTTCCCCCTAACCTCAGGTAGATGCCCTATGAACATTAGTTGCATACTATGTTGAATACTCAAGAGGAATCTTCTGCAAATCTCTGGAGTTTGCTCTCTGTGCAGCTCTCTCCTCTCTCTCCTCTCTGACCAGCAAATTCCAGGTACCTTTATATCCCTAGACTCTAAGCTCCATCTCCTCAACTCAAGGGATCCAACAGGCTCCGTGAGGATTCCTGTTCCCTATGCAATGGCCTGGAAACTCTCTCAAGGCAGTTAGATGCAACAATAATGAGGTTCACTTAATTTGCTTCCTGTCTTTCTTAAAAATCCTTGGGATTTTTTCTTTTTATTTTGAAGGTTTTTTGTTTGTTTCTTTCTTTCTGGTTTGTTCTAGGTGAGAGAGTAAATCTAGTCCCTGTTATAACACCTTGATAAGCAGTGGAAGTCTATCTCTGTTCATTAGTTAACCTTTTTCCTCCCTGCAGTTCCACTTGAATACTTCAAGTTTGTTCACCTTCCTTCTACATTTTCCAATTTACTCTTTAATTCCATTTCATAAATTTCTTTATTTCAGACATTACCTTTTCAACTCTTGATGTTTTATTTCATTATTTTTATGTCTATCATCCATTTCTTCATGTTATTCATATTTTTAAGTCCTTGAGCATATTTTAACATTTAACAATTTAATAATAAAAGCTGTTTTAAGATTCATGTCTGTCATTTCTGGTTCTGTTCCTATTGACTAATTTTTCTTCTGATTACCAAAACTTGCTCTTTCATTGCATGCCTAGAATATTTTGTATTGGATTCTGGATTACTGAATGTTTGGATTTTGGTATTATCTTTTTATAGATTTGAAGGCTGTTTTGGCTTAAAGTAGTTATTGAAAATCACTTTAATTCTTTCAAATCTTATTTTAAATATTGCTAGGGATAATGTACCTCTTACTATTACTGTTATTCTATTAGCCTTCTGAGGTCTCGGTCTCTAGTGATAATTGTAGTGTATTCAGCAAAGTCTTTCTACTCTAGCCAAACATCATTCAAACATCTCCCAGTCCAGTGTGAGATCTTGGGATTGTTTAAATCACATTTTAATAGTGTTTGATTTTGGTCAACATTGTGAAACAGTACTCTATTCCTGAATAGATTATAATACAGCCAAAGTCTCAAGGGTACCTGCATGCAGTTTTCTGGAACTTTTCTGTACATAGCTCTCTCCAAACGACTAGCAAATTTCTGCTACTCCTACCTTCCCAAACTCATAGCCATGTATCTCCAACTCAGTGAGAATGCCATGCTCTGTGTGGGAGCCTTCTCCCTGCACTGCAGTCCTGAACGTTCTTCCAGAACAATGATAGAACTCACCTTATTGTTCCCCTTCTCTCAGAGATTACCATCCTGCAATACCTGTTGTCCAATGTGTGAAAAATTATGTCATGTATTTTGTCCAGTTCCCTCCTTGTTTTTTGTGGAAAAGCAAATCTACTCTCAGTTACTCCACCACGGTGGATTATGGAAGTCCTCTTGTGTTTCCTCTCAGCACTTAAAGATGTTATTCCATTATCGTCCAGTGTACATGGGTCTTGAATGCTCTGCCATAATTCTTATTTTTTGTTCCTCCCTATGTAACATGACTATTTTTCTCTGACTAACTTCAGTATTTTCCCATTTTCCTTTGTTTTCAGCAGTTTGAATATGATATGCCAAGGTGTTTTCTTTTGGGGTGAGAAATTGTTTTGTTTTGGTTATCTTGTTTGTTTTAAGGTGGGGGCTGGTTTGTCAGAAGGTTTGCTTTTCAATGTCTACCTCACCCTCAAATTTTGATTTTCTCCATATGCTGCACCTTATATAGAGTCTATCTCTTACATGTCACTTGTTACTTAGTGTTTTTTAGCCTAGCAGTTTGGGGTGGTAGTCATGCTCTTCTATTCTGGTAAACTCTCATTCTGAGGCAAGTATTAGGTTCCTGGGTGTAGATATGAGCTTAACACATATTTCTGATCCTCCATCCTTTGTGTTTTTATCCATATGCTACCAAAAATCTTTTCAAGAGAAAACTAGCATTATTAGATCCTAGCTACGTGACCTTAAGCAAAGGCATCATTTCTCTGGACTTCAGTTTTTTAAATGTAAAGTGTAGATAATAAAACTAAAGAAATTAAATATTATAAAAATAAAAATTTAAAAAGGGCAGGTGTGGTGGCTCACACCTGTAATCTCAAAGCTTTGGGAGGCCAAGGCAGGAGGATTGCTTGAGGCCAGGAGTTCAAGACCAACATGGGAAACATGAAAAGACCCCATCTCTATAAAAACATTTTTAATTAACTTATTAGACAATTAGCTGGGCATGGTGGCATGCACTTATAGTTCTAGCTACTTGGGAAGTATATTAATCTGTTCTCATACTGCTATGAAGAAATATCTAAGACTGGGTAATTTGTAAAGAAAAAGGGGTTTAATGGACTCACAGTTCCACAAGGCTGGGGAGAAAGGCCTCACAATCATGGCAGAAGGTGAAGGAGGAGCAAAGGCATGCCTTATGGGGCATCAGGCAAGAAAGTATGTTCAGGGGAACTGCCATTTATAAAACCATCAGATCTCATGAGACATATTCACTATGATGAGAACAGCATGGGAAAAACCCACCCCTATGATTCAATTACCTCCCACTGGGTCCCTCCCATGACTTATGGGGATTATGGGAGCTACAGTTCAAGATGAGATTTGGGTGGGGACACAGCCAAATCATATCAGGAAGCTAAGGCAGGAGGATCACTTCACCCCAGGAGGTTGAGGCTGCAGTGAACTATGATCATGCCACTGCACTCTGGCCTGGGTGACGGAGACCCTGTCTTTTAAAAGAAAAAGCAACTATGTCTGTGACATAGTGTTGTATACATATTTTATGATTAACTTATTAATAATAGCATGAGAATGAATGCATTGGAGCTTTTATTAACCAAGCAAAAGTTACACTTTACACTTAAAACTCAGCTTGTGGGAAAAGAATCTATTTCATCAGTTACTATCCAGAATGAAGATGAAGAATAAATGTTTATCTCTCAGATATGAACATGTGTCAGAACATAAGGAGCTGAAAACAGAAACATACCAGGTAATGGATGAAGGGAATAGAGTCAAGGGGAGCCCTCAGAGAATGAAGTAACTTTACTAACTGTAAATAGCATTCAGTGAAATTAAGTAACTAGAAGATGCAGTGGGATGACATGTCAGACTAAGAGCACCCTCAGAAGTCAGGCAATGCTGAGTTTAAATCCAAGATCTTCTATTTATAAGACATCATAATTTGGGAAAACTAATCTCTCTAAACCTTAATGTTTTTATCTGCAACATGGCGATAATAGTGTCTCTCTCACAGATTTGTTCTAAGGATTAAATGAAATAATATATGTGAAAGAGCCTGAGAGATAACAGGAGACTCTGTTTGTTCAGAAAACACATAAAGGTGGGCCGAGACCCAGCCATCACTGGCAGTCAAGCATAGACAGAAGCAGCGTCATGGACGCTCTGCCTCAGCAAGTAAAAACAAACAAACAAACAAATAGATAAATAAACAGCACGTCTACTAACCAAAGAGAAAGCTATCTACAAGGAAACAGTAACATGAGCCAAAGGCAACACAGAGCCAAAACTCAGAAATCTAGGAGAGAGATGCCAAACCGGAAGCTCAGATGCCAAGATTAGGTGGCAAGGGTAAAAGTCAGGTAGCACCACACAAGTGTGCAGGAACAGAAATAGCCAGATTTGACGTTAAACAAGACAGTGTGTTTGAAGCAGGTGGGGTGGGACTCTAAAAGGAATTCCAATCAAAGTTACTTCTAAGGAGACTTCCAACTTTAGAATTTTAGAATTCCATGGTTTTGCTTAAATATTTCTCATTACTAGCTCCCAGTTCTAGCCTTGGAGGCAGCATGTGAATTCCTGTGTCTTAGCAAATGCTTACTGGATAGCTCTCAGCATCATGACTTTGGCTAAGTTACTGGTAAAGGACACTTGACACTCCTTTCATGACTTATTTTTCTATCCCCCTTCCTATGTTTGGAGTGTTCCCCATCTTATAAATATTGAATGGGGCAGAGCCTAGTTCTTAGCATAGAAGATAAAGAAGTTGATGCTGCTTAAGGATAAACAGCTAATGCATGTGGGGTTTAATACCTAGGTGATAGGTTGATAGGTGCAGCAAACCACCATGGCACATGATTACTTATGTAACAAACCTGCACATCCTGCACATGTATCCCAGAACTTTAAATTAAATTAAATTAAATTTTAAAAAAGAAGTCGATGCTGCTTTTGCACCCTCCACAACAGACAGGGCTCAGCCATTTGAATCTGCTGATCAGCAGCATCCACCATGGGCTTTGAGCTGAAAGCTCATAATCCAAATAAGTAAGGCCATGGAGAATCCTCTTCTGTAGAAGTTACCATTGCAAGATAGTGTTCAAACTTTAATGTTGGCCTCCAGCATCCACCATGATTGTTAGTTCTATGGTGGCAGCATCACAACTTTCTCTCTAACCCAGCTTTCTGAGGTAGATTTTGGGTAGTGTTTTGCCGAGCAAATGCCAAACCTGATTCTCCAATCAACCTGATAATTATTTTAATAAATTCTCTTTTTTGAATCAGACAAAGTCAGTTTCTTCAGTGCTGTGATTACATTACTCTTTAGAACCAGTTACCTCATCTATAAAATGGTAGAATACTAATTTCTGCCAATAGAAAGCTATGATAATTTACACTGAGAAAGGCATATAATATGTTTAAAGAAGATCCTGAAATACAGTTTTCTGTTTGTCAGTATTAGCTGTTATTATTTAGGTTTTTGTGCTTTACAGGGAAATTTGACAAATCTTGTTATTGAAAGCTCACAATAACTTACAAGATATTAATTGTACTAATCTGGGAACTCAGGTCCATTAATATTAAGCATACAGAATGAACAAAATGAGAAGTACTGGGAAAATTTCTAGGCAAAACTGCCATTAAGATGGCTTATGAAACAGTAGGAATCATTAAAACCAGTGAAAGAAACTGAATGAAACTGAGAAGAGAGTACCAAGGTCTCAGTAACTCTAATGTTTAAAGGTTTAGTAGAGATGTTAGCAAGAAACACTGAAAAGAAAAGGACAAAAAATTAGGAAAAATTGAGATTGGCCAAAAAGCCAAAAGAAAAAATATATTTCCATAATGAATTGGTCAATTATACTTCAGCTTCCAATTCTTATCCATTTTCCTTCTAAAGGAAAAAGAACTATGTAGGGCTGGAAGGAATATGAATAAAACAATTGTGTGAAAGAGGAAAATGGGCTATGCTGACAAAGAAGGCAACTGACACCTGTGTTTGGTAGTTCCTAAGCAGAGTATCCCACCGTTCAATATAAAGTACCCAAGAGGTACTTTATATTGGGTACAATATAAAGTGGAGACTGCCCCAGGTATATAAGAAAGAATCAATATCAAGCAATATCATAGCTGGGGAGGTAGCTACAGGAATCTCCAGAGAGAGTACTATATTTGAAGTCAAAGTAAAGAATTATTCAGAATCTGGTTACTACGTCTTTCAGAATATGATCCTGGTTTATCATTTTTGGGGGTCAGGAACAACATCCAAACTCAAAAATGCGGCCAAAAAGGGGATGTCTGGTCACTAACCAAGGAGGCTGAGTGTCAAGCCAGGACTCACACATAGCATGGGCCTGGAGCAAAAAGGAGGAAACCAACATAAGCACACCATCAAACACACAGACAACAAACAGCTATTAGTACAGGGCCAAGGCATATAGACAAGTTAGGTAACTGCCAGGGCCTCAGTGAGCACATATTACCAAGAGCCACCCCCAACCATGCTATAGGAGAGGATTTGTGGGAACAGAAGAGCAAGGAGAATGAGGCTTCTGCTGTGCTCAGAGAAACCTATTTCATGAACCTGCAGGTGAGCACTTTCAGGGATCCCAACTGATGAGGTCTGGAGAGAGGGAAGGAAGAAGGAAAGGGAAGAAGAGGGTAAGGTAAAGAAGGACACTTGGAGAGTAGAAGAACTGGAAGAAGAACTTGGAAGGAAAAAAGGAAACAGGAAGAAGAATTTGGAAGGACAAAAGGAAACAGGTAGAGGGATGAAGGAGGCAGGTGGAAGTGAGAGAGAGAATGAAACAGAAAATTAGGAAGAGAAGATGTATATGTTAAAGCAGGAAGAACACGACTAAATATTACAGGAGAGGGTACAAGAAAAAATGTTTGAAATATGTGTAAACTATAGTTCAATTATTTGAGATCAGCCATAACACGGAGAAAAAAATCACATCAGGTTTTAACCGCCATAAGTACCAAATAGTTATGCTTCCTGCATTTATAAACAGATATCTTTTGGCAAGTGAATCAAAAAGGCCTCTACAAGACATGCAATTCTGGGCTTCAATCCATTCACTCTGTGAATTAATTGACTTTATTTGAACTCTACTGTTTTCAGTTGGAGAATTCACTGTGAACATGTTGTACATATCTCAAATATCAAATAGCAAATGCACTGCAGCCAGATTCTGAAACAGAGCCAGAAATTGTTTATTAATCAGACAGGGGTTTCTCCATGATTAGGAAAGACAACTAAGGGATAAATACATAAAATAAACAGCTAAACTCTGGAATGTCTTCCACATTTCTCCTTTCACTTTGGAAGCAAAAGCTCCACTGGAAACCAAGTAATTGTTCTCACTAGGGGCAGGGGGTGATACATGACACCTGCTTTCAAAGCAACATTTGCCCCTAAACCTCATTTCCAATCTGTTTTTCATATATTACTCAAAATAGTAATTTGCCAGCAATAGATTCATAAATCCAGTTGTCTTTCTTCTCTTACAACACCAATAATGTTACATTTTAATCTTTTATTGCAAATAAAAAGTTTCTTCGAGCTGACAGGCCCAGAAGTGAATATTCTGGTTAATGTCTAAAGCTATTACATTAAAACGTTAAAGCATATAGTGTTCTAAGCAGGATTTATCAGAGCTAGCAAAAGATAAATACTCTGGGTCTCTTAATCAAATAAATTGGTTACATAGATAGACAGATAGATAGATAGATAGATAGATAGATAATATAGATAGATAATAGACAGATCACGCTGGATAATAGCCATAGCCAAAGGCAAACCACAGGTCTAGTCTTGGCCACCTGCCACTGCTACTGGAACTGTGATGAATCTGACTCCATGAATGTTTCCTCTGTCTCTGTTTTACATTCTCAGATCCAAGATCCTCTAATTGTTTTTTCATCTCCCTTTCATGACCAATCCATGGACTAGGCAACACAGCACAGGATCACTGCCTTCAGACTAGACAACACAGCACAGGGTCACCACTTGGAAGATTCCCTAATGGTAAGGGTCCCTACAAAAGGAAGGAGAGGTCAGCAAATAGGAAATGGTTAAGCCTGGATTGCAACCCCAGAGGCTGTCCTCATCACTAATAGGTAATTTGAAAATCACAAGCAGGAGTCCAGATGTCAACCTTCTTCTAGGTACACATTGGTGACTAAAGTAACAGAGAGTCTCAAGGAAATGTTAGTTCATAGGGGGAAATGATGAGATATTGAGAAAGATCAATAAAGGGAAAGAAATACTAAAAACTGAACAATGTATAGCAGTGGCAGCAGAATAAATGAAGCAAACAGAACAATAATTATTAAAAGTATTATTAAATATTTATACAGAGAAAGAAAGAGACATTATAGAGAGCATAACAGATGAACAAATCAGGAATAAGCAAATATGGAACATAATTATTTGGATTTATTGGTAATAAGAACACCATTACTATAATAAAAAAATTGATAGGCTGAATTACAGAATATAGTGCCAAAGTTATTTAGTGGGTCAAAGATCCACGTGAAGAATTATCACTGGAGGTATTAAGAAAGTTCAAATAAGAACAATAAATAAAAAGTTTTGTAGAAGAGATATGTAGAAGGGTCAATATTTAATATTAATCCCAAATGACATAAGTAGAAGTAAAAAATGTATTTGAGGGAATAGTGACCAATAATTTGACAAAATGAAAAGATTTATGACACTTCAAATTCAAAAGGATCTAGAGTTCAGTACAGGATAGATTTCTTCAAGCCCTACCTCTATTAAAAAGAATTTTTAAAGCTCCCAAGACTCAAAGATAAATTTTTAAAATATTAATTCCAGAATATTAAAACAATTTTCTAAAATAGTGAAGAATCAAATTAATATCAAATTCTAAATAGCTACACTACGTATGAGGAGAAAATGACATAAAATTTTTGTTTTGAAGGAAAAGACCTTGAGTCAACTTGAATATCTAGTTGAATTATAATTTATATATGAGAGTAAACATTACCCAACTTTTGAACTAGTAAAAAAAAAAAATCTTAATAAAGGGAATCAAAATAAAGAAGGAGAAGGGAGAGGAAAATTAAGAGAAAAGAAAGAGAAAAAATACGTCAATTGATATATAAAAATAACATAGTAGGAATAAGTACTGATGCTATTTATAATTAAAATAGATTACTCCAAGGATACATATTTCCATAATAGTTTTATAAAAAATTCAGCAATGTCGAAGATAAGAGACTTGAACTGAGAAGAAACTAAATGATTGAAAATAAACAGATATGCCAAACAAATACTGAAAAACAGAATGCTAGAGCTTCAACTTTCATATGAGGCAAAACAGAACTTAAAAACAAACAAGAACACTATGAGATATAAGTAATAATTCACAGAGTAGGAATATGTAATAAATCATGAACACATATGCACCTAATAACATATTTTCAGGATATACAAAGCAACAATTTACATGATGATGCAGCAGATAAAATTAAAACTTTAGCTGGAAATGTTAATGTTTTTATCACAGACACTGAAAAAATGAAGTAGACAAAAATGTAAACATTATAGACAATTTGAAACATAAACAAAGCTTTACACTGATTAAATAAAGGTTATTTTTTTTTAAATGTGCTTGGAAAGTTTATAAATTCAGCCAAATAATAAAGTCTCAGCAAAAGCAAAAAACGTTTATTATGTAAACTATGTTATCTAATTGTTATACTATAATATCATAAATAAATTACAAAAGGATAATTTTGAAATTCCATATGTCCAATAATTAAAATAATACTACTAAATCACAGGTAAAAATTAAGTCAGAAAGGAAATTAGTAAAATTTAGATCTGAAAGACAATAAAAAGCCAAATGACAAAATTTGTGAGTTACAGCTATAGCAATATTTAAAATAAAAATTATAAATACATTTATTTTAAAAATAAGGAAGATTAAAAACTAATGAACTAAGAATTTTTAAAAATGTATAAGAGGATTACCAGGAGAGGAGCCAAGATGGCCGAATAGCAACAGCTCCGGTCTACAGCTCCCAGCGTGAGCGACGCAGAAGACGGGTGATTTCTGCATTTCCATCTGAGGTACTGGGTTCATCTCACTAGGGAGTGCCAGACAGTGGGCGCAGGTCAGTGGGTGCGCGCACCGTGCACGAGCCGAAGCAGGGCGAGGCATTGTCTCACTTGGGAAGCGCAAGGGGTCAGGGAGTTCCCTTTCCGAGTCAAAGAAAGGGGTGACGGACGCACCTGGAAAATCGGGTCTCTCCCACCCGAATATTGCGCTTTCGGACCGGCTTAAAAAACGGCGCACCGCGAGATTATATCTTGCACCTGGCTAGGAGGGTCCTACGCCCACGGAGTCTCGCTGATTGCTAGCACAGCAGTCTGAGATCAAACTGCAAGGCCGCAGCAAGGCTGGGGGAGGGGCGCCCGCCATTGCCCAGGCTTGCTTGGGTAAACAAAGCAGCCGGGAAGCTAGAACTGGGTGGAGCCCACCACAGCTCAAGGAGGCCTGCCTGCCTTTGTAGGCTCCACCTCTGGGGGCAGGGCACAGACAAATAAAAAGACAGCAGTAACCTCTGCAGACTTAAATGTCCCTGTCTGACAGCTTTGAAGAGAGCAGTGGTTCTCCCAGCATGCAGTTGGAGATCTGAGAACGGGCAGACTGCCTCCTCAAGTGGGTCCCTGACCCCTGACCCCCGAGCAGCCTAACTGGGAGGCACCCCCCGGCAGGGGCACACTGACACCTCACACGGCAGGGTATTCCAACAGACCTGCAGCTGAGGGTCCTGTCTGTTAGAAGGAAAACTAACAAACAGAAAGGACATCCACACCAAAAACCCATCTGTACATCACCATCATCAAAGATCAAAAGTAGATAAAACCACAAAGATGGGGAAAAAACAGAACAGAAAAACTGGAAACTGTAAAATGCATAGTGCCTCTCCTCCTCCAAAGGAACACAGTTCCTCACCAGCAACGGAACAAAGCTGGATGGAGAATGACTTTGACGAGCTGAGAGAAGAAGGCTTCAGATGATCAAATTACTCTGAGCTATGGGAGGACATTCAAACCAAAGGCAAAGAAGTTGAAACCTTTGAAAAAAATTTAGAAGAATGTATAACTAGAATAACCAATACAGAGAAGTGCTTAAAGGAGCTGATGGAGCTGAAAACCAAGGCTCGAGAACTACGTGAAGAATGCAGAAGCCTCAGGAGCCGATGCGATCAACTGGAAGAAAGGGTATCAGCAATGGAAGATGAAATGAATGAAATGAAGCGAGAAGGGAAGTTTAGAGACAAAAGAATAAAAAGAAATGAGCAAAGCCTCCAAGAAATATGGGACTATGTGAAAAGACCAAATCTATGTCTGATCGGTGTACCTGAAAGTGATGGGGACAATGGAACCAAGTTGGAAAACACGCTGCAGGATATTATCCAGGAGAACTTCCCCAATCTAGCAAGGAAGGCCAACGTTCAGATTCAGGAAATACAGAGAACGCCACAAAGATACTCCTCGAGAAGAGCAACTCCAAGACACATAATTGTCAGATTCACCAAAGTTGAAATGAAGGAAAAAATGTTAAGGGCAGCCAGAGAGAAAGGTCGGGTTACCCTCAAAGGGAAACCCATCAGACTAACAGCGGATCTCTCAGCAGAAACCCTACAAGCCAGAAGAGAGTGGGGGCAAATATTCAACATTCTTAAAGAAAAGAATTTTCAACCCAGAATTTCATATCCAGCCAAACTAAGCTTCATAAGTGAAGGAGAAATAAAATCCTTTACAGACAAGAAATGCTGAGAGATTTTGTCACCACCAGGCCTACCCTAAAAGAGCTCCTGAAGGAAGCGCCAAACATGGAAAGGAACAACCGGTACCAGCCGCTGCAAAATCATGCCAAAATGTAAAGACCATCGAGACTAGGAAGAAACTGCATCAACTAACGAGCAAAATCACCAGCTAACATCATAATGACAGGATCAAATTCACACATAACAATATTAACTTTAAATGTAAATGGATTAAATGCTCCAATTAAAAGACACAGACTGGCAAATTGGATAAAGAGTCAAGACCCATCAGTGTGCTGTATTCAGGAAACCCATCTCATGTGCAGAGACACACATAGGCTCAAAATAAAAGGATGGAGGAAGATCTACCAAGCAAATGTAAAACAAAAAAAGGCAGGGGTTGCAATCCTAGTCTCTGATAAAACAGACTTTAAACCAACAAAGATCAAAAGAGACAAAGAAGGCCATTACCTAATGGTAAAGGGATCAATTCAACAAGAAGAGCTAACTATCCTAAATATATATGCACCCAATACAGGAGCACCCAGATTCATAAAGAAAGTCATGAGTGACCTACAAAGAGACTTAGACTCCCACACATTAATAATGGGAGACTTTAACACCCCACTGTCAACATTAGACAGATCAACAAGACAGAAAGTCAACAAGGATACCCAGGAATTGAACCTCTGCACCAAGCAGACCTAATAGACATCTACAGAACTCTCCACCCCAAATCAACAGAATCTACATTTTTTTCAGCACCACACCACACCTATTCCAAAATTGACCACATACTTGGAAGTAAAGCTCTCCTCAGCAAATGTAAAAGAACAGAAATTATAACAAACTATCTCTCAGACCACAGTGCAATCAAACTAGAACTCAGGATTAAGAATCTCATTCAAAACCGCTCAACTACATGGAAACTGAACAACCTGCTCCTGAATGACTACTGGGTACATAACGAAATGAAGGCAGAAATAAAGATGTTCTTTGAAACCAACGAGAACAAAGACACAACATACCAGAATCTCTGGGACGCATTCAAAGCAGTGTGTAGAGGGAAATTTATAGCACTAAATGGCTACAAGAGAAAGCAGGAAAGATCCAAAATTGACACCCGAACATCACAATTAAAAGAACTAGAAAAGCAAGAGCAAACACATTCAAAAGCTAGCAGAAGGCAAGAAATAACTAAAATCAGAGCAGAACTGAAGGAAATAGAGACACAAAAAACCCTTCAAAAAATTAATGAATCCAGGAGCTTGTTTTTTGAAAGGATCAACAAAATTGATAGACCGCTAGCAAGACTAATAAAGAAAAAAAGAGAGAAGAATCTAATAGACACAATAAAAAATGATAAAGGGGATATCACCACCGATCCCACAGAAATACAAACTACCATCAGAGAATACTACAAACACCTCTACGCAAATAAACTAGAAAATCTAGAAGAAATGGATAAATTCCTCGACACATACACTCTCCCAAGAGTAAACCAGGAAGAAGTTGAATCTCTGAATAGACCAAAAACAGGATCTGAAATTGTGGCAATAATCAATAGTTTACCAACCAAAAAGAGTCCAGGACCAGATGGATTCACAGCCGAATTCTACCAGAGGTACAAGGAGGAACTGGTACCATTCCTTCTGAAACTATTCCAATCAATAGAAAAAGAGGGAATCCTCCCTAACTCATTTTATGAGGCCAGCATCATTCTGATACCAAAGCCGGGCAGAGACACAACCAAAAAAGAGAATTTTAGACCAATATCCTTGATGAACATTGATGCAAAAATCCTCAATAAAATACTGGCAAAATGAATCCAGCAGCACATCAAAAAGTTTATCCACCGTGATTAAGTGGGCTTCATCCCTGGGATGCAAGACTGGTTCAATATGCACAAATCAATAAATGTAATCCAGCATATAAACAGAACCAAAGACAAAAACCACATGATTGTCTCAATAGATGCAGAAAAAGCCTTTGACAAAATTCAACAACACTTCATGCTAAAAACTCTCAATAAATTAGGTATTGATGGGACGTATTTCAAAATAATAAGAGCTATCTATGACAAACCCACAGCCAATATCATACTGAATGGTCAAAAACTGGAAGCATTCCCTTTGAAAACTGGCACAAGACAGGGATGCCCTCTCTCACCACTCCTATTCAACATAGTGTTGGAAGTTCTGGCCAGGGCAATTAGGCAGGAGAAGGAAATAAAGGGTATTCAATTAGGAAAAGAGGAAGTCAAATTGTCCCTGTTTGCAGACGACATGATTGTATATCTAGAAAACCCCATTGTCTCAGCCCAAAATCTCCTTAAGCCGATAAGCAACTTCAGCAAAGTCTCAGGATACAAAATCAATGTACAAAAATCACAAGCATTCTTATACACCAACAACAGACAAACAGAGAGCCAAATCATGAATGAACTACCATTCACAATTGCTTCAAAGAGAATAAAATACCTAGGAATCCAAATTACAAGGGATGTGAAGGACCTCTTCAAGGAGAACTACAAACCACTGCTCAAGGAAATAAAAGAGGATACAAACAAATGGAAGAACATTCCATGCTCATGGGTAGGAAGAATCAATATCATGAAAATGGCCATACTGCCCAAGGTAATTTACAGATTCAATACCATCCCCATAAAGCTACCAATGACTTTCTTCACAGAATTGGAAAAAACTACTTTAAAGTTCATATGGAACCAAAAAAGGGCCCGCATTGCCAAGGCAATCCGAAGCCAAAAGAACAAATCTGGAGGCATCACACTACCTGACTTCAAACTATACTACAAGGCTACAGTAACCAAAACAGCATGGTATTGGTACCAAAACAGAGATATAGATCAATGGAACAGAACAGAGCCCTCAGAAATAACGCCGCATATCTACAACTATCTGATCTTTGACAAACCTGAGAAAAATGAGCAATGGGGAAAGGATTCCCTATTTAATAAATGGTGCTGGGAAAACTGGCTAGCCATATGTAGAAAGCTGAAACTGGATCCTTTCCTTACACCTTATACAAAAATCAATTCAAGATGGATTAAAGACTTAAACGTTAGACCTAAAACCATAAAAACCCTAGAAGAAAACCTAGGCATTACCATTCAGGACATAGGCATGGGCAAGGACTTCATGTCTAAAACACCAAAAGCAATGGCAACAAAAGCCAAAATTGACAAATGGGATCTAATTAAACTAAAGAGCTTCTGCACAGCAAAAGAAACTACCATCAGAGTGAACAGGCAACCTACAAAATGGGAGAAAACTTTCGCAACCTACTCATCTGACAAAGGGCTAATATCCAGAATCTACAATGAACTCAAACAAATTTACAAGAAAAAAACAAACAACCCCATCAAAAAGTGGGCGAAGGACATGAACAGACACTTCTCAAAAGAAGACATTTATGCAGCCAAAAAACACATGAAAAAATGCTCACCATCACTGGCCATCAGAGAAATGCAAATCAAAACCACAATGAGATACCATCTCACACCAGTTAGAATGGCAATCATTAAAAAGTCAGGAAACAACAGGTGCTGGAGAGGATGTGGAGAAATAGGAACACTTTTACACTGTTGGTGGGACTGTAAACTAGTTCAACCGTTGTGGAAGTCAGTGTGGCGATTCCTCAGGGATCTAGAACCAGAAATACCATTTGACCCAGCCATCCCATTACTGGGTATATACCCAAAGGACTCTAAATCATGCTGCTATAAAGACACATGCACACGTATGTTTATTGCGGCATTATTCACAATAGCAAAGACTTGGAACCAACCCAAATGTCCAACAATGATAGACTGGATTAAGAAAATGTGGCACATATACACCATGGAATACTATGCAGCCATAAAAAATGATGAGTTCGTGTCCTTTGTAGGGACATGGATGAAATTGGAAATCATCATTCTTAGTAAACTATCGCAAGAACAAAAAACCAAACACTGCATATTCTCACTCATAGGTGGGAATTGAACAATGAGATCACATGGACACAGGAAGGGGAATATCACACTCTGGGGACTGTGGTGGGGTGGGGGGAGAGGGGAGGGATAGCATTGGGAGATATACCTAATGCTAGATGACGAGTTAGTGAGTGCAGTGCACCAGCATGGCACATTTATACATATGTAACTAACCTGCACAATGTGCACATGTACCCTAAAACTTAAAGTATAATAAAAAAAAATAAAAAAAATAAAAATAAAAAAGAAAATATGGGAAAGGCTAAAAAAAAGAGGATTACCAGAGTAAACATAAAGAAAAAAAAATGGAAGTAAGAACAGAAATAATACACAGGAAAGAAAGAAAAAAAGGAATAAATACATATATAACAGAAATTTTTATGAAACAACCATACTTCTGAAATCCTGTATAAAACTGATATATTTTTAGAAAAATATAAAGTGCCAAGATTGGCACATGAAAAATTAAAAAATTTAAATAGATTGGTAATCTTTTTTAATGAAATGGTAACCAAAACCTTCTGCTATTCTAAAAATTCACGAACCTAGACAATTTTCCAGATAACACAATAAAATAGTATTTTAAAGAAATTTTTTAAGATTTCATTTTTTAAGAAATAAATATTCTAATTTAAACAAGTTGTTTTTTAAAAAAATTTTAAAAGGTGGAAGTACCCTATTCACTTTATTTTTAATATATACTTGATACCAAAACCAGATGGCAATGTGAGAAAATAAAAACATAAGCCAATTTTAATTTTTAAAATAGATGCAATATTCACACAAATGTTGGCACAAAAATGTTTATAGCAACTTTATTCATAATTGCCAAAACCGGAAGCAACCAAGATATCCTTCAATAGGTAAATGGATAAACATACTATTATTACACACTCATATAATGGAATGCTAGTCAGTGATAGAAAGGAACAGTTTATTAATCCATACGACATCAGTGACTCTTACATACATATTCCTAAATGAATGCAGCCAGTATGTAAGACTCCATACTGCATGATTCCATTTATATAACATTCCAGAAAAGGCAAACTGATGTATAAAGAAAACAAATCAATGGATACCAAGGATTTCTGGAAGGGAAGAGTTGACTAGGGGAAGCACAGGGATTTTTTAGGGCAGTGAAACTGTACAGTATTTAACCATAGTGGTGGATTCATACCACCATATATTTGCTGAAACCCCAAAATAGATTTTAACAGCCCAAAAAGTAAGCCTTATTTTTAAAAAAAATTAATTAAAGCATTGGGGGAATCACAGGATGAAATTCAGACAAAGACAAAAGTATATAATTGTACTACAGAGGTATGGCATAACCTCTCTGAAGAGAGTGGCCAAATAATAATAATAATAATAATAATAATAATGCTGACCTAAGTAACTTTAGAAATGACTGGGAAGTATAAGACTACAAACACAAGCACTGTCCTTTAGTTGGCCAAGTTGTTTCTCACAGAAGGATGGGTTAACAATTCTAAAACTACTGTACATATATACTAGGATTAAACAAATTAGTACAACAATGTTGGATGGCGGAACCAGGTTTCTCACTGTTGGAGAGTGACATAACAGGCTAGCATAGGCAGAAGACTATAATGAATCATGTGGGCTGGGTTAGGGTTGGAAATATCACTATAAGCTCATATTTAGCTTAATACTAATACAGATAGAAATAATTATAGAGATAGAAATACACACACATGTACACACGCATACACACACAGCTTAATATACATACATGTATTTTTTAACTGTCTGTGGAAAGGGCCTGGAAGCAATTATACCCAGTAGCAATGATCATATCCAGTTCTCAGATTTTGGTTTCTATCATCATCCTCCAATAAAAGGAACTAGGGATCTGTACTAGTCTATTTGTATTGCTATAAAGGAATACCTGAGCTGGGTAATCTATAAAGAAAAGAGTTTTTTTTGGCTCACAGTTCTGCAGGCTGTACAAGCATGGCACTAGCGTTGCTTCTGCTGAAGCCCTCAGGAAACTTCCACTCATGGCAGAAGGCAAAGGGAGCAGGCATGCCACATGGTAAGAGAGGGAACAACAGAGATTCGAGGCTCTTTCAAACAATCAGCTGTCTCATGAACTAATAGGGTGAGAACTCATTAATGCAGGGAGGACGCTTCATGAGGGATCTGGCCCCGTGACTCAGACACCTTCCACTAGGCCTCACCTCCAACACTGGGGATTGTATTTCAATGTAAGATTTGGAGGGGACAAGGATCCAAACCATACATGTAACCTTGAGAAAATGGCTGATTCTAGGACTACAGTAGAGAATATACAAGATACATCTGAAGCATCGTATAGTACCAGAAAGTCACACACAATGATAGGAGTATGTCAAAAGGACATAAGAGCCCATTAAAAGAGCTTGCAAAGATCAAAGTTGGAATAATTTGAGCAACAACACAAATAAAAGAGTACTGGATTATAAGCCAAACTATAAACTAGAAATTTATGGATCCATAACAATATACATAAGAATCAAATAAAGAAATGAGGGAGAAGAGACAAATCTACCATACAAAGGAATTCCAAATAATGTATGTAGATACTGCCTATTAAGGAAATGGAGACGGACTCCCCACCCCTTGAGTGTGGACTGTGCTTAGTGACTTGATTCCAAAGAGTATGGTATGAAAAGGAGGGAAGAGAAAATAATTTTTTAGTGCAGAAGCTTGGCAAATACTACCTCAGCCGGGTGAGCAAGGTTAATATCATCAGCTATGTCATGTTGATAGTATATACGCTTAATATAAGGGGATAAGAATGACACTTCACCTCTTTGGTCTTCCTCCTAAAAAATCATAAGCCCAATCTAACCATGAGAAAACACCAGATGATTGGTATCACATTCCATAAAATACCTGACCAATATTCCTCATAACAATCAACGTCATCAAAAACAAGTTATGTCATAGTCCAGGAGAAATTAAGGAGACATGAAAACTAAATAGAATGTGGAATTATGAGTGGGATTCTAGAACAATAAAAGGATATTAAGAAAAACTAATGAAATGCAAATATAGTATGGAGTTTAGTTAACAGCAATGTGTCAATATGGGTTCATTAGTTGTGACAAAAGCGCCCTACTAATGTAAGCTATTGACAATGGGAAAGATTGGGTGTGGTGTGTACAGGCGCTCTCTGTACTTTCTGTGCAAGTCTTCTGTAAATACAAAACTATTCTAAGATAAAATACTTATTTAAATATAGATTTTAAAAATCTAAAATAAAATATTGGCTACCAAATCTTAAAGCATAATACAAAATAATCATCATGATTCCTGACCTATCAAAAAAATTGATTAATAATTTTATAACATTAAAAGACCATCGAGAAAAATCTTAAGATACAGATGTTGATATTTATAGCAGCACTACCTGTCATAGCCAGGAGCTGAAGACAACCTAGGTGTTCAATATTGAGATAATGAATAGATATAAAGTGGCCTCGCATAGAATGAAATATTACACAACATTTAGAAATAATGAACCTAGATGCATATTGAAAAAGGCATAGGTTTAAAAAAATTCAGTCTTCAATGAAAAAAGTAAACAAAATTATATTTACTCTTTATACATCTATTTATTTAAAAACATAAACAATAGGTACATTTTCAATGGTTTACAAGCACTCTATGCCCCAGGTACTAATCAATTTTATACTATATATATATATATATATATATTAATCTATTTAATTCAGTGAATAATCATACACAGATTAAGAAACTGAGGTACAGAGAAGCTAAACAGCTTGCCTCAGGTCACACAATGCAGTCTGGCAGGGTGAGGAGTTGAGCCTGGTCTCCTAAACCTGCATTCTTAAACAGCGTGCTCTACCACCTCTTCTGTGACAGGTGGTTTAGAGGGCACATATCAAATATACCATTGTGGTGGTAATTGAGGAGGGGGAAGAGATGGTAAAGGTGGAGAGAAAGAACAAAAAGAGCAAGTAGTAAAATATAGCAAAACCTAAAGGGCACCTACGAAGACTGATGATGAGAGTGAACTAGACTGAGGAGCATGATTACTTTAAATCATACATCTGATGTTTGAAAAATATAAAGTGCTGACATTAGCCAGAAATGTCTGATTACTCTTCAATCTTAGATAACCAAACATTTTAGATACATGACTTTTTACTAAATCAGCACCTTTTTAGGCCAGAAATGTCTAGCCTAGCAGACTCATGAGTATTTGCCTGAAGGACCTGAAGACAACTCCCAGATCCCTCAGCTCTGAAGACCTACTCATCCCTTGCTTAGACTGTTGCCCCAAACCACATATTTCTGATTTGTGCTTGAAGTTATTGACTGGACTTTCTCCCAATGCCTGAGGCCAGTTTACCATCCAGCACCCACTCCTCACCTAGTGAAAATGCCTATTTATTTTTCTTTTACTCTTTTTTGCCCCTCGGTCCTGGCATTTAGACCCTATATCACACACAGTTGGCCTCATGTCTATCCTGTATCTGTCCATCCATCTGCCCAAGCATGTATTCATTCAACAGACACTGAGTCTTTGCCATGTGCTATGCACTGCACCGGCAACCAAGGGCACCAATCGTGACAACAAAAATCTCACAGTTCAAAAAGGAAGACACAATTTTAAAAATAAATGAATGCAATAAAATGAAATTTAATTAACTGGATTATCACCAGTATTAATAAAATAACGTATATAAATAGCTTAACATGTTTGTAAAAAGTCCTGTAGTCAATTTTTAATAGCTACATCAACGTGCACAGAGCTTCCCAGAGGAGGGCATCCACTTAAATGTGGGCCATTCATTTATTCATTCAGTAAAGTCAGGCACTGTGAAAGGTGTTTGTGTAGAGTCAGCTAACTGAGCACCTAAAAGCTGCACTCCTGTTTCCAAAGTATTGAAACAGCTTTCAATGAGAAGTGGTTGGCCAACCTGAGATCATATTTACCATCATCTCTTGCTTTCAGATGAGGCCATGAATATTTGTTTGAGCGATCTTAGCCACTGTAGCAAGGCCATTCCAACATTTTGTTGACAAACACAATAAAAGTTTATTCCAGTTCACCTGCAGTAAAATGCAGGTAGTCTTGATAAATGAGGAAGGAAGCATTCTATACAGTCATTCAGAACCCCAGGTTCCTTTATTTAGGGGTTCTTCCATGTCCCAGGGCCTTCCGCTGTAAGCAAATAAGAGGGTAAAAAACTATACCCACTTTTAACCATTTTGGCTCAGGTGTGACGTACATCACTTTCATTCACTTGTTGTTAGTGAGTACTTGTAATATGGTTTCTGCGTTACACAAGAGGGGATTTTGTAGTACCTGCCTGGACAGCTGCTTTCCAAAGACAACTCCACATAGTTAAAAAAAAAAACATGAATTTTTAAAGATATGTGACCAGTTCTCAGCAATGAAATGCAAGAAGTACAGAGCATCACTTATGAAAATGGCAGCCAGTGTGCCATTTCCCCCCTTTTCTCTTTGTTCTAGAGAAGGTTCCTCAAGAATCATTGAGCAAAAAATTGGAGCCCTGATCGCCAAATCACCACATGGAAAAAAATCCTACCACCTACAGGAATGCTTCCTTGGACTATATTCAGATCGAGAGACAAGTTTCTCCTAAGCTTATCTACTAATGTATTGGCATTTGTTTGTTACTGCAACTAGAATTGCCCTAATTAATAAACTATTACAACTCATTAATAAAAACTCTATAAATAGTAACTCAATAGATGACTCCACACCTTGCATGGCCCAGAGTTGGAGTGCAATAAATATTTTATACTTGCCTGTTTGCAATTTCTTTAATGTCTTTTTGAGAATGCGGTAGCCTCTTTCTGGTTAAATTACTCTCCACACATTTTTTTCTCCCAAGACCCTCAGGATGTCGACTGCGGCCCTGCCGCTGCTCATACTAATGTGAAAAGAACAACTTTATGATACCCATTCAGTGTCAGGGGTATTAAAACAAAACAAAAAACCTGATACTTTCTCTACAGCACACTTCCCTACTTGCCTACACATTTTTGAGACCTTTTCTTCTCTCACTCTTCTTTACGGTATGAAAAGATAGCCTGCTCTCGAATCACATCAATTTGAATTAATCTACACAGCTGTCTTCTTTAAATGAAGTACAAATGTTTACCATTGTAAAAGGCATGAATTATTAAAACTTTAAGAACAAACCTAATATGATTTGAAGCTTCCAGAAAGGCAAAAGAGGTCAGATGTCATCCGTATTTAGTCTGCTTGGGCTGCCATAACAAAATACTACAGACTGGGTGGCTTAAACGACAGAAATTTATTTCTCACTGTTTTGGAGGCTGGAAGTCCAAGACCAAAGTCCCTGCAGGTTTGGTTTCTTCTGAGGCTTCTCTCATTGGGTGGCAGATGGTCACTCTCTTGCTGCCTCTTTGCATGATCTTACCTCTGTGCACGCCCATGCCTCATGTCTTCCTCTTCTTATAATGACACCAGTTCTATTCAATTAGGGCCCTTCCCTTATAACAACATTTTACCTTAATTACCTCTTTAGGTGCTCTATCTCCAAATACAGTCAGGTTGGGAGTTAGAGCTTCACCATATAAATTTTGAGAAGACTTAATTCAGGCCATAACACCATACTCAGAGGCACCTTCTCTTCATTCCCAAAGAGCTCATCGCTGTATGTGTCACAAACTTGAGGAAAGACTTATATAGTCTCTACCACAAAGACCAGGGCAATTGTTGAAGAAGTTTCATTTGCCCCCATCTCCTGCTGAATTAAGAATGGTCTAGAGTTCTCTGAGTTCATTCCTTAATTTACTCACTAGCAGAAAACAGAAGCTAAAATAGTGTTTCAATGGCAACGGCATTAATATTGAAGTTTGACCTGCATTTGAATGCTAACTCTGATACTTGTCACCTATATGGCCTTGGGCCAATCATTTCATGTATTGGAACTTCAAGTTATTCAGCCTTAAAATGGTAAAAATAATGTCTACTTTACAGGATTAAAGTATTTTAAAATATGTAAACCACGTGGTGTATTAGTTTCCTATTGCCAGCCAATATTACCATAAACTTAGTGGCTTGAACTAACACACATTTATTCTCTTCTAGTTCTGGAAGTCAAAAGTCTGTGAGGAGTCTTATGGGACTAAAATTAAGGTGTTGCCAGGACTGGTTCCTTTTAGAGGCTCCAGGAAATAATCCATTCCTTGCCTTAGCTACTTTCTAGAAGCTGCCACCATTCCTTGGGTCATGGCCTCTTCCTTCAACTTCAAAGCCATCAGAGCAACATCTTCTCTCCTTTCTGACTTCCTGCCTTCATCTTATAAGGACGCTTATAATTACATTGTGCCAACCTATAATCCAGGAAAATCTCCCCATCTCAAGATCCATATTTTAATGGCATCCGTGCAGTTCCTTTTGCCACACAAGGTACATATCCACAGGTTCTGGGAATTACAACACGATCATCTTTGTGAGCCATTACTCAGCCTATCACACATGACTTACTGTAAATCAGGGTAGACATCTGCTGGTTATGCCTGCAGAGTATCTCCTGGAGGAAAAATATTTCTTGCCTGCGGAGTAATTTCTTCCAATTGAAATGTTGCGGATTGGGTTACAGTTCCCAATTCCTCATTCTCTCCTGATATAGAATTAGTATGCATAACCTTTTCCATGTGTCTAGAGTAGAGGAAGAATATTCCCCAGACTACTGATGCTTGACTTGGCCATGTGATTTGCTTTGGCCAATGGAATGTTTGGCCAATAGATATGATGTGAGCAGAAGTGAAGCTTTAAATGTCCTTGCTTGGCTTGGCTTTTGTCTTGAGAAAAGGATGGGCTGCACAACGCCTGGTCCCAGAGCAAAAGACATGTGGAACAGGCTTATACTCAACCCATACTCTGAAGCAGAGCTTCCCTAGCCAACCTCTTAGCGGAAATAAGATGTTTATTCCAGTAAGTGCCTTAGATATTTATGTCTTTTATTTAGCTCTAGTGCAGCAATAACTGACTAATTAAGGTACCCAACTTTTCCTTGGAGAAATCTCTCAGATTAGGTTCCCCAGAAGCAGACCCTGTAACAAGGACTCATGGGAAAGTGATTTATTTAGAATTATTCCCAAGAAAACCGGTAAGGGTGTGGTTAAGTGCAACTAGAAAATATTTAGTATCATAAACCCAAGTAGATGACTTTAGCTCAATTCCACAGAGAAGCTCTAGAAACAGTATAGAACACACCTGAGAGAGATGTTTCCACCAAGAGAAAGGAGCTAGAGTATTCATACCCCACCCTTACCACTCCTAAGGGCCGCCTTTAGGGACACATAAATTCTCTGCTCTCCATGGGCACAGGCAAAGCAGGTTCTGACAACCTGAGGGCAGCTGCCTGACAAAAAGATATAGGGAAATGTTGCTGAGATCCTAGGAAGTATGGGCAGAACACTGAGAGTATCTGCTACACCACCCCTCCCAACTCTCCATCCATGAATTCTGTTCAAGTGGATTCTGCTCCCAAATCCAGGCTAGGCATGTGACCCAAGCCTGACCCATCAGTGTATTCTATCACCCTAGCTTCAGCAGTAGATCCAGGATGAGCACATAATTCAACTAAGTCTAATCAGAGAATGTCTTGGGAAATTTCATGAATTGACTAGAAAAGGGGTACTATCCTTATGTTGATGTTTCTGAGAAAATGGGGGTATAAGTCAACTTTCCTGAAAATGGGGACAACCAGAAACAAAGCAGAGAAGTCACAGGAATGAGCCATCCAATAACTCTGATTTGAGCCTTTTTTGGGTTCAGCCATACCTAGCTCCTACTCTAGACATTGCAGTTAAGTCACCACTTAACTGACTAATTGACTGTTTTACTCAAAACAACTAGAAAGATCAAATGTAGCCCAATATCACTTTATGTAAGATCCCTGTACATACCTTTATTTCTGTTTGTGGAAACTGTAATCATTCTCCAAGTCACTGCTCAAATTATTCCACCTTCTCTGGGTCCCAGTTTCTTCAACTATGTCCCCCAGAAAGTGGTTGGAAAAAAATTAAACAGCATGTACATGAGAATCTGTCCAGCCCCCATGTCTGTGATGCACTAGGTGCTTAATAAATACTTTTAAATCAATTTTGTAGATTATCAAAACCAACTTAAGCATAGCTATAAGATAAGCTTTGTAGTTAGTTCCCATATTATTCTATTAAACAAGGTCTTTCTACATCAGTGATCTTGTTTTTTTTTAACCTTTTCATTACCTACATTTGCAGAGATGAGGAAAATCAGTGTCATTCCTCTAACCCAGTATAACTCCAAGGTTACCCCTGGGATTGTGGGGGAACTTACTGAGAAGCAGAGAAAGATAAGTGTGTTTACTGGGTACTTATTATGTGCCAAGCACAATGCTCAGTTTTACAGAGATGTTAATTCATTTAATAATCAAAACCATCTTTACGAAGGGACGTTATTGTTCTTGTTTATCAGATGAGAAAACTAAGACTCAGAAACATTAAGTAACTTATCCAACATTATTCAACAAAAGAGAAAGAGAATATTACTGCAGAGAGTACATGGACATTTAGGGATGAAGGGAACTAAAATCGTATCAATTACTAGCTACATGAACTTGAACCAGTAACCTCACAGCTTTGTAGGAATTGACAGAGATAATGTCTATTAAGCCCGGCTCATGGTAGATATGAATTAAATAATGATCCTGCCTTCTCCTAAGCAGCAATGGAACTGTGACTTGACCCCACTTCTGTCTAATGCCAAAATCCATCTTTGCCCCTCCTAGCCTCCCTGCAATAGAAAGCTGCAAATGTGGAGCATGAGTCTTTGCATAGTGCAGAGCTGGAAAAGGATTATCATCCACCACCACCTTAGAAATTGAGTATTGAAGTATTGATTGACTTTTATTTAATATGAATTTCTAAAAAACCTCTCATCTACTAAAGGTTCCTTTGAAATTATTAGCCTACAGACATTTATGGTTACATGGCATATGCAGCTCTAATATAAACAGATCAACCCCTCTCACTCTTATTTTACACTGCATCAGGCACTGAAAACTAAGTCTGATGTAATAGATCTCTTTTGTAGTTTTAATCATAACAATTGTACCAAATGACTTTTTTGTGCATGTGATAACATCATAATGGAAAACCAAATCGATAGCATAGTTCTCAATCTAATTATATGCCTTGCATTTCTAACCCAGCTTTAATGAAATACAATAAGTGGTAGTGTGGAAATTAGAAGAGGCTGGAAAAAAAGCAGTTGCAAATAATACTGTCAGTGACAAGAATAGAAGTATGACGATGCTGGTCTGTGTGAACAATGCCTCCCATTGTGACTATGCAATAAAAAGCTCCCCCACCACCCAAAAAATGAGGAGGGGGTTTATCCAAACAAATCATCATTTTCAGCAACAAGCACTTTTTACAAAACAAGCCTAGGCTACAGCAATTCAAAAATGTTTAAGGAGCCTCAGAGGTTGCAAAACTTATCTACATGCAAACCTCCCCTTTTTCACTTCTTAGGCCACCATCTGATACACACAATAGCACCTTAATATAACTTTTAAATAGCTACTTTCCTTATTTAGAAAAGTAATCATGCTTATTATAGAAAATCTGGAAAACACTGGAAGAGACATAGAAAAAAGTACAATAACCCAAAATCTCACAGTCAGAGATAAGCATAATTCACATTTTTCTATATTTCCTTCATTTTTTTCTAAGAATATGTTACATATTTGAAATGATATAATAATCTTATTGAAAGCATAGTCAGATATTTCAAAGTAATGAAGTTGATAGCTCACAGACAGATAGGCCCTAATATAAAAATAAGTTACTTTTATAGTTGCTGTGTTAGTTTATTAGGGCTGCCTACCAGAGTACCACAAACTGCATGGCTCAAGCAGCAGAAATTTATTTTCTCACAGTTCTGGAGGCTGGAAGTTCAAGATCAAGGTGTAGCAGAGCTGGCTTCTTCTGAGGCCCCTCTATCGGCTCATAGATGGCTGTCTTCTCCCGGTATCTTCATGTAGTCTTCCTTCTGTGCATGGCTGTGTGTAAATTTTTTCTTCTTATGAGATCAGTTGTATTGGCTTAGGGCCCTCCCTAATTACATGACTTTAACATAGTCACCTGTTTAAAAATATCTCCAAATACAGTCACATTCTGAGGTACTAGGGTTTAAAACTTTCAACATATGAAGTTGGTTTGGGGGAAGCATAATTCTTCCCATGACAAGTGCTAAGTGTGGCAACACAAATATGCCATACACCATACTTCATAACACAAATACACCATACACCCAAAAAGAACCTAAGTACATCATATAGCATCATATACCCACAAGTATCTCTAGGTTTTGCAGCAGGCACTGGAGACATAAAGATTGATAAACTAGAGCCCCTGTCAGGAAAAGACTTAAATCAGTGGTCCGAGGAAGGACCACTTATTTAATAAGTGGCATTAGGGAAGTTATTAACACCCTGGGGAAAATGTGCAAAGGCTCAATTTATACCATATACCAAAATAAGTTCACACTTTAAAATGAGAAATGTTAAGACAAGGAAGAGGAATCAAAGGAGGAGGAAGAAGGAGAGGAGAAGAAAAGCAAGGAAAAAAAGAAGGAGTAACAAGGGAAAAGAGGAAGGTGGAGAAGAAAGAAAAAGTAGAAAACAGAAATGTGTTTTATTCGTCTTACCTATGAATGGAGTAGACATTTTGTTTGTAATTATTTAATTATTTCATTTAATAAATACTATTTGACCAACAAACACAGACCAGGTGTTCTGCTAGGCACAGAATGAACCAGGTTTTTTGATGCTTCTACACAATGGAAGGAGCCCCTTGGGTTGTGTATTATGTAAACAGAAGTTTACATTTCTTGCCTGGCATATTCAGTATTGGCCACCTCTCCCTATACCAACATCATGAGCTGTATGCAGTCAATATGTTCCCGCATAAGTTATTTTCAAAGCATAATTTTAAATCAGATCCCATTAAAAATGCAAGAAGAGGGCTTGTTGTTAAAGGAGCCCTAGGGGAACCCTGTGGTAAGAAGAAGCATCCTTATGTAAAAGCAAGACCGCTGCTCTGTGGTTCCCACACTGTGTCAAACCCGACTGTCATACCTGTGTCCTGGCTTGCAGGTTATGCCTGAGCGCTCATGTGTGTTTGCACTGTCTGTCCTTCTGCCTTGGATTGCAAACCCCTGGAGGTTGGCCCATCACATCTGTTCCCTTCATTGTGCCCAGTGTCACAATGAAGCGTTTTCAAAGAGATCCTAGTAAATGCTTTTGTGTGCTGATAATGATGCAGCAAAGGAAATTAGCAGGCAATGTCTGTGGGGCTATATTGAGGAGGTGCCCTATGTGTGTTACTTCTAAATACTAAGACTCCATATCATATCACTGCTTTGCCAACTGCAGGGAGCAAATCCCCAGGATCCTTCAGTCCTATTTGTGTTCCCAGCAACAGAGAAGAGAGGAGAAATAATTTAAGGGAATGACAGAAGAGACTGAGAGTTGGCGATTCCTTGGGACACTCCAAGAAGCTCAGTCGGAGCAGGATTGAGGTGCTTACCTCCAAATGCCTTTGAAGAAGACAGGCTTTTCTGTATGCTTCCAGATCACGGAGTGAGATTGCTGTTCTTCCCATTGGGAACGGTCTCATGTCAGTAGCACATCGCATTGCAGCTTACTCTCAGAATCAAACTATCTACCCAGAAGAAATGGATAAATCCTTGCAATTCTCTTGGGTTCAGAAAAAGATTTTAGCCAGAAGCTCCTTTTCTAGTAAGTAGTTGTATAGTGTTATTGCCCAGTAAATGAGTGGTACAATTTCTGGCTGACAATTGCTGAATTCAATCAAAATGTAGTGACCCAGAAATTGTCTTAACTCAATGCTCATAAATACAAACATTGCCCCAGAATTATACCAGTATTGGTGAATTTTCCTGAATGAAAAAGACATTATTTCTCTGGGAGAATTAAGCCATTTTAATTCTTGGACCAATTTTCTATTTAGTAGTATTTTAATCATCTTTATTTCTATCTTACTAAAATTATTTTTCATGAATATCCACTGTTTTCCATGTACATTTATTTTTGATACAGCTTTCATTCATTTTTTTTGCCCACATCAAATTAAATGAGAAAAGTTTCTGTCTTTGTAAGTTTTCTCTGGGGGCCATTATTTCCACAAAGTCTATTTTTTTTTTTTTTTTTTTTTTGAGATAGAGTCTTACTCTGTTGCCCAGGCTGGAGTGCAGTGGTGCGATCTTGGCTCACTGCAACTTATGCCTTCCGGGTTCAAGCAATTCTCCTGTCTCAGCCCCCCAAGTAGCTGGGATTACAGGCACGTGCCACCATGCTCAGCTAATTTTTGTATTTTTAGTAGAGATGAGGTTTCACGATATTGGTCGGGCTGGTCTCGAACTCCTGACTCAGGTGATCTGTCCGCCTTGGCCTCCCAAAGTGCTGGGATTACAGGCGTGAGCCACTGCACCTGGGCCAGTCTAATTTTTTAATTCGATTTTGCATTTATAAATTTTTCCAAAATGATCTTTTTCACTATCAATATTTTACCAATAATTTTTTTTACCATGTCATGCTCTAGCCTTTGATGGTTTTGTTGGGTTATTTCTCCAGAAACTACTATTTCCCTAGTTGATTTTTACATTTTTCAACTTTACCAATTTTTTTCACCTCTAATACATTTAATAATGGAAAGTTATAGCCATTCCCAATTTTCTGTTATTTTATTTCAATTAATAATACCTCATGTGAATTTGATGTAAAATAATGTATTTTTATTCATTTATGAAAGCAAATCAGAAACAGAAGGAGTCAAAATATCTGTAAAGTTAAAGTATTACAGTGTGGCAAAAACTTGCTGCTTCATTCAAATACAAACATCCCCGGAAAGGTAAGCCATTATTTAAATTTGAATATGGGAACAGTGATTTACATCATATGCTTTCCTAAGAGATGAAAATAGAAGTATTTGGCCAGGTGCGGTGGCTCACACCTGTAATCCCAGCACTTTGGGAGGCCGAGGCAGGCGGATCACGAGGTCAGGAGTTTGAAACCAGTATGGCCAACATAGGGAAACCCCGTCTCTACTAAAAAATACAAAAAATTAGCCAGACGTGGTGGTGCGCACCTGTAATCCCGGCTACTCGGGAGGCTGAGGCAGGAGAATCTGTGAACCTGGGAGGCAGAGGTTGCAGTTAGCTGAGATTGCGCCATTGCACTCCAGCCCGGGCAACAGTGTGAGACTCCATCTCAAAAAAAAAAAAAAAAAAAAAAGAATAGAAAATAGAAGTATTCATTTCCCAGCTACCTGGCACATGACCTGGTGTCCATTCGTCCCTTTCCCCTTCTTGAGGCTTTGACTCTACAGCTGGAAAAACAAAGTAGAAATGGGGGAAAAACTGTTTTGTTGTGGCATAGTTGTGGCACAAGAACGTACAGAGCCTGGAACACTTGAGGGCCTTAAAGTCATCTTAAGGGATTTGGACCTTCTCCTGGAGGAACTGGAAGCCATGTAGGCCTCTATTTGAGGATAGATGCTCAGATTTGAGATTTCAAAACATGACTCTGGTAACTGCATAGAAAAGAGATTGAAGATGGAAAGTCAGGAAACAGGCTTCTGCAGGGCTGACTCCAGACCACAGTTTTGCATCTTCCCAATCTAAGGCAGTTGATGCCAGGCTGGTATCCCGGCCTTTATGATATAACCCTTGGCAATCTTTGCATCTGCCCAGTATCCCCACCCTACTTCACCAGACTCCTCTTTGTTCTCCAAAATTTTCCATACCTCCATGCTTCCATGACCTAAGAAATTTCTTATTTCCATTATCTACCTGAGGAGCTCCTACACATTATTATTTCAAAGTTAAATAAACATTAATAACTATAATCATAATAATGAGCATTTACTGAGAATGTGCTTTACACCATTCAATGCTATTAATCTCACCAGATAACAAAACTGAGCTCTAGACAGTTTAACTAGCTTGTTCAAGGTTGCCCAACTAGTGAGCAGGGAGGCCTCTATTTCAAAAGTTCAGCTTGATGTCAGAGTTTGGATGTTCCTAATCCACACCATGCTGTTCCACCAGGAAACATCTGAGTGCTTACCATATGACATAAATTTTCACACATATTCTCATATTTAATCCCAATGGCCAGATAGTGAGGTAGGTGTCATCATTTTAATACAGAGAAAACTGAGTCTTGGTGAGTTTAAGTAACTTCCTCCAGAGCAACAGACACTACTGGTCTGTCTAACTACAAAGACATTATACTTCCCGGTAAGTGCCTGGCTCATAGATGGTTATTGACACATATTGGTCCCTTCCCTTCCACCTGCTCTGCCATGTCCATACCCAGATCATGCTGATCACCCAAAAGTGTATCTGATCTTACGACACCTTCATCCAAAACCAGCTAGTGCCTATTCCTATGGAGGATCCAGCTTACCTGTTAATGGAGGTACCCATTGCTGTACCTTCTCACCCATATCCTCTTCCCAGTGAAGCTGTTCAGCTCACAGCCCCTGCTGCTGACATCTCCATGTTTTATATTCAATGATTCTGCTCTTCCACTATAGCTGATTGGACCTAAAAGCAGACAATCAGACATCCTTTCTCGGAATGTTGAAATAAGGAATGCTAAGAACTTAAGATAATGTTAGGAATGGCAGCTTCCAAGGTAGAGTCTGGCTCAGAATAATCAGGAAGAGCCAAGGGCAAGCCAAAGATGCTTCAAGCAGAAACAAAGACGATGCGAAATCCAGGTGGTAGCAAAAGAAGAATAGAGTAGATGTGCTTATGGCTAAAGCAAACGCTGAGAGGGTAGTGGGACACTGAGGCCCATGAGGGAGAAGCGGGGAATCATTAGAGCTGCCTCACTTCCCAACAACTTCTCAGTTTCCATTCAAGTGTTTCCCTAAAGAAAACCTCCTTTTTTTCTCTGGTAATGAAGGTGACACATTGTTTCTTACCACCCAAAGAGCAAAACTTAAAAAAACAAATAGCCTCCTCCTGCCACTCAATCTTGAGGGTTTCCTGTTAAAAACCTTTGAGTCTCTAAATCCAAGACTAAGATGGGAAAAAGTCAAATGATGAGATTTAAAGCCTAATGTCCTTAAGCTAAGCCCCCACCCCAGATGCCAACCCACCCAGATCTGCTCCCACTCCCTCTGTATCCCCTCTTTGGGGTCTCCTCTGCCTGCCCCTGGAGTTCATTTCAATCACTTTGGAGCCCAGGATGGCTGGGCTATGGGAAATCTTCCCTCTGTCTAGAACTCCTGCCATTTATCTGATCTGACCTCTCCAGACATTTAAGGTCTGCAGATCAGAAATGGATTTTTGTTATTGTTCACTGCTATTACAAATACAACTCATCTTCAACACCTCTCTCCACATAAGGCCTGTTATCCTGCTTTCAGAGCAAGCCACAAGAAAGAAATGGTGTCTTGATTTACTTTTCCTGGATATTTCAAGTCCATTTTGTGCAGCAACCACACATACCACCTATTACTAATGAGATTTAAAAGGTGAAGTCCAGGGTGCTGGCTGTTTCCCAGCTAGTACGCATGCAGCTGGTACTACCCAGCCCCCTGGCAACAACCCGGAAGCCAAATTCCGGGGTACCTGAAGTCAGATCTCTAGATACCTGAAGCAAGATCCCTGGCAGCACCTAAGATGTGAGTCACATTGCAGAGGTTGAGCCTGCAGCTCTCTTTGCATGTATGTGTGCAGTCTGCAGCCCTGCCAGGCAATCACAGGAGCCACTCACAGGTGTCACACTGAATTTCAGGACTCCATGGTGTTTCCTGCCTCAGCAGCAACATCAAAGCTCAGAGCAGTAGCTGTTGTGTTGACATAGGCAGTAGAAACAGGTGGAGTACCATGACAACTTGGCCCTTGCCACTGAACCTCTACATTTATTTTCAAACCATATCCCTCAACAATCCTGTAGTCATGAAAAGCTTCGCTTGGCAAAGGTAAGAATGTGAGCACATTTGGACCCAATTCCCCTGACAAAGGGTTCCCATTCACAATTTGGAAGAAAATATTCAGTGTGGCTGTGACACCAGCCAAAATGAGAAAGCCTGGTGCTGGCAACTCACCATTTTCCAAATCGCTGTGATTCTGCCTCAGTTTGAGCTTCCTGGAAAATAAGGGAGAGGGTCATGTAGAAAGGACTACTCAGCAAAAGTGCCTTATTATCTCTTGCTGTATGGCGCTCACTGCTCTTCTCCAATGCACAGACACACTCACAGGTGTACACACGTATGCTCATATCTGGAATGTGACTGAAGCACATGCAGAATGGGCCGCCACGATGCAGCCCGAGGGGCATCTCAGAGACCTTCACTCAAAGCTGTCTCCTCCACTAGGGAGCCTCTTCTACCTCAACTTCCTATCAATTCTAGTTCCAGCTCCGCCTTGGGAGTTTAGTACTTCTGCAAGAGACTAAACTTCTCTCTGGAAAAGGTAATGCAGAAGTCCCCTAGTAGTCTCTTTGGGAATGAATTTATCAAACCTTTCGCTCATTAAGAGTACTTGGATTAAATAGCTATGCATGCCGGGCTTAATAGTTAGGTGATGAGTTGATAGGTGCAGCAAACCACCATGACACATGTTTACCTATGTAATAAACCTGCACATCCTGCACATGTACCTCAGAACTTAAAATAAAAATAAATTTTTTTAAAAAAAGAATACTTGGATTTGTGAGTGGGTGAGTGAGGAAAGGCAATGAGGAAGAGAGAAAATGAGTTCTTATTAATAATAAATTTTGTTCTTTTTTTCTATAACAAATGTATTACCTTCATAATTTGAAGAAAAATATAAATTGTATTAAAATTTGTTCAACCCATTATCCCCATAACTGTACTCGTTTTTGTCAGGTAGCTCAAATATCCCTATTTAGATAGGCTAACATATCCTTAGCCTAACATAAGGCTTGACATCTTAGGCTGGATTCCCTTGAAAATAGATCCTGGGGCAAAAGAGATCTCTCTCTCTCAAGTTTATAGGATCAAATCAGGTAATGTTGGTAAAATCACGAAGCTTAGTCCCAGATAATAGATGTCCAAGAAATGGTGGTGATAGTGGTAGCAAAGGAGGAGGTGATGTAATGATGTTTGTAGTAATCATCATGGATATAATTACCATTGAAATGTTATTGTTAGAATTTATTTTATCACGTTTTGATCAATATATGTCAGAATGTTAGATTTAAAGCAATCTATTTTACTCTCTTCAGTCATTTCCAATATAAACAACTATCTCATCTCCCCGATGTAGAGTTCTCCTAGCTCAATTTCCCTTTAGGAAAAACATCCAATACTGGAAATATTTGGTAATAATAGCAGGTTCTTGTTTCTTTTCCTCTGCATCTTGTTATGTTTGGCATGTCCCATTCTCTCATTCCCTCAGTTGGGAAGAGTTGCATCTATCTCTTATCCCAGTCCTGGGTGGTTTTGATTATGTAGCCATAAACTTAAGCCAATGAGAAGCAGGGAAATTAATCAGAGCAGCAGGAGTTGGTCTTTTCTCCAGGATGGAGCCAGTTCAGCAAATTACTAAGTCATTTTATGTAGTCATTCTATACAGACTGAGCACCTTATGTGTGCCAAGCCACACGCTGAGCACTGGGGATGGGGAAATGAGGAAGGCATGTGCAGGCCATGTAGTAGGGGTGTCATGAAGGCCTGTGTAAACAAACAGGGGTAGGGAAGAGTCTCAAAGGTGGAGAAAAGATTCAGGGCCTTTTAGGAAGGGATGCATCATTGTCATAGAAGGGTCTCACTGTGAATCAAAGAGGTCTGTCTGAATCTAGCTCCATAAGAAGAGGGGATGGCAGGATCTGATGGCATCAGATCCCAACTAATCTTCTTGAAATGCAGGGTTAAGCACTAAATTTAAGTGTACTTGAGAACTAAAATCCTTAGTCAGGCCACAGGTGATGAGGGCGAGGCAGGGAGGCCATAGTCTGGGACTTATGAGGGTAACCTGGGTGCTAAACTCATCTAAGTCTTAACTAAACTTTGGTTTGGAAATAATACACTTTATACAGACCTCCTCGTTCCATTCCTCTGCAAAGTCATGTTCTTGGTGAGTAGATTAGTTTGCAGTTGCCAGACCACCGTATTCCTTATATCTTTATGAGAGTTAACCCACTGCTAAGTATTTCTATGGTACTCCTGGCCCCATAACCTCTAAATTTATACTCTCTCTTCTTCTTTTTTTTTTTTTTGTTGTGGTTGTTGTTGTTGTTTTGTTTTGTTTTGTTTTGTTTGAGACAGAGTCTCACTCTGTCGCCCAGGGTGGAGTGCAGTGGCACGATCTCAGCTCACTGCAAGCTCCGCCTCCTGGGTTCACGCCATTCTCCTGCCTCAGCCTCCTGCGTAGCTGGTACTACAGGTGCCCACCACCACACCCGGCTAATTTTTTTTTTTTTTATTTCTGGTAGAGATGCACTTTCTCTTCTTATTCTCCTGACATCCATGATTCTGGAGGAAGTACATTGTCAGGGGAAAATATTGGCATCCATTTCGGTTAGGAATGATTTTCCTTCAATCAAGAAGTTCAGAGGTTGGCATCCAGGGCTGCCAAGGCTGTTCTATGTCTTATCAAGAACTCAAGCCCCCTCCATCATTCTCTGTTATTCTGAGTGGAGTAATGCAAACACTTCATGATGATTAGGCTGTAAAAACTGCCTGTCACTGCTTAATAATGCTTGCTTCATTTTACACTACTCCTGAAATATCAGCAATGAGAGACTAATTTTTGCCAATCTCCCTAGAAATGCATACCCTCCCTGTGAAAGTAAAGCAGAAAATAGTAGTTTACTCCTTAATACAAATTGATTTCAAAAGATCATTCCTGTCTGGTAAAATGTTGGATTTTTCAATGGCACAGGAAGGAATATAGGACCATTTGGGGATGGAGAGCACTAGGGAAATTAGGTGTGTTAGAGAAGAGAGTATTTGTATGGATACGAAGATGGACAAGCCTCTGTTAACTGCAGTGTGGAGGAGAGAGTGCTGGATAGCTGGGATACTACCTCATTCTTATGGAACCATTTTTCTTCTAGTGCCTTGAAGATTGCCATAGTACATCAGGATTCAACATTTCTAACGACACAATCAGCATCCTGAATATTTGCTTTTCTGTATATATCTAATCATTACAAACACAAAAAATTAATACTGTATGAGTCGAGGTAATGCTATCCAAACTCAAAATATATGAAAACTCAAATCCCATAAACATTTCTCCTTCAAGGGTAGTTCTCAACAGGTAATCGTGATTGGTGATGGCTTTCTTCCACAGGATCATTCAGGGGCCCAGGTTCCTTCCATCTCATCGCTTCCCTACCTTCAATATGTGGCTTTCAAAGTCACTGTACTTGCTTCCACAAGTCAGAGGCAGGAGGAAAGAGCATGGAAGATCGCACATGGGAGGTTTTAAAGAGTAAGGCTTGGGGGTGGCTCATCTTACTGCCCCTCACATCCCATTGGCTAGAACTCCATCAAATGGCCATACTTAGCTGCCAGTGAGACTAGGAAGTGTAGCCTGGCTCATGGTGTTGATAAAGAGGAAATGGGTTTGGTGAAGATTATTCCATCTCTGTCACAAATACCTTCTGCTTTCCAAGCACGAGACCATTCCTTTAAAAAGAGCAGCTAACACAAACATGGCCTCCCCTCAGGGAGCCTGAAGTATAGAGAAGAATAAAGAAGTTCAATCAATAATCACAAACACATGTACAAATACATATTCAAACAATACAATTCAAACAATGCAATTGCAAATGTGATGGGAAGATAGAGTGTGAGAAGAAAATGTAATGAGTATTATGACATAGATTATAAGGGGCTAAGATGTATAGGAATAAGTTAGAATTAACTAAGTTGAGCATTAAGGTGAGCATTCCAAAGTAGAGTGATATCGTATATCAGGATTATTTGTTCCATTTATTCATCTACCAAGTTAGGTGCCCACATTGTGCTAAGTATTCTTCCAGTCTCCATGGAAGATTCCAAAATGCAGAGCACAAACTCCTGCTGTCTACTGGGAATACTTTGTGGAATTTATTCTGATTCATCAGGAACAAGTGCACACAAACTCACAAATAATCTTACATATTTGAGATGATTTCAAGTGTGGAAAAGGACAATTATACCACTGAGTGGTTTTCCTCCATCCATTTATTAAGCAAACGATTGAGCCCTTAGTCAGGATATTGGTTTCATCCTCTTAAAGACCAGGCATACCCAACTGGAGCACAGATTGAAAATTTGAATATATGCCATACACACAGACCCTTCTAAGGAAATCACACCAAGTAGATTAATGTGAGTGACATATCTGTGACATCCAGAGTTCCACTCTGTTGCCCACCCCAAACTGCTTCAGATCAGGGATCAGAGCATGTGCTCATAGGCTCTAAGTTAACATGGCATAAAACTGCCCAATTGTTTTATGTTTATAACATTAGTAATTTTAATAGCAATTGTAGTAGTAATATAGTAAAAATTTGATGTCAAACTTATCCAATCAGATTCCCACTCTTAGTATGACAGTTAGATTGCTTTTTTTTAGAATAAAATTCAGAGACTGTTGACTATTTACAAAAATGGAAACTTTGTCTATAGTAAGGCCTCCTACATTGTTCTAGATGGGTAGGACTTTAAAAAAAAAAAAAGAGTTCTGCACACAAAGTAATAGGAATTTTGCAGTTGTGATCTGATAAAACATGTCTGTAAGTAGGACCTGAATGTAAATACAGTGAGTGAGGACTTCCCGTGGGTAGAGAGGCTGGCAGTTTTTGAGACGTCTAGTAACCTAGTTTACATTTTAGGTTGGTTCCTGTTCTCTGCTATAATCCCTGTAGTCAACCTTAAATTTTTAGTAAGAGTCTACTACATATACATAGCTGCCTTCCATCAGTGATGCTTTGAATGAAGAAAACTCCTGTCAATAAATAGGACAGAGTGGGGAGAGGCAGGGGGGACGTCCCAAGAGGCCTAAGTGTGAACTGGTTGATCAAGAATCCAAAATTTATACAAGAAACTATAGGAGATCATAGTCACCTATGCCATGAATCCCCTTAAGTCTTCAAGAGGGCACTGGACTGCCCACTGTAGATAGGATAGGAGGTCCAAGCCACTTTATCTGGTGATTGAATTAAAAAGTGGCCTATAGAAGACCAATGCATGTCAGGCCATTGAGGTCAACTTCATAGGCACCCTGTGAAGTCCGATCCTGCTAACAGCAAAGCTGCATGTTTTCAGACAGTCATGAAGAGGAAATACTGATGACTTGGTTTAGTAGTAACACTTAAGCTCCCCCAGCAACCAAACAAGCAGTCAGAAATACAATGCTGCCTCTACTCTCCTTCTCATCTTCTTGTTCCCAAATGTGTATGTTGTCAGATGGGTGCAGGTTGTTGTTCCACTTTTTATTTCTGGAAGAAAATGAAGAATTGCTTCTTGAAATGCAGCCAGAAAGCTTTTCTGTAATTACCAAGAAACCAGTCAATTTTATTGACAATCCAACTGATAACATATGGTCCAATACTGTTTGTTTGGTGTTTTTTTGTGTTTTTGTTTGATTTTTTGGTTATTTTCGTTTTTGTCTTTTGAGTGTTTTTTGTTTATTTGTTTTTGTGGGTTTTTATCTTTTTTTGTTTGTTTTGTTTTTTCTCTCTGAACCCAGCACAGTTTGGAGTGATATCTTAATTTATTATTATGAAAGGGACAGCAACTGGTTTTTAATGGCTACAGAATGGTGACTTGCAACCTTGGCCCAGCTGCTGTCACTGCCGTGCCGCGAGCAGACTTGTAGCATCTTTTCTCAGGGACACATCAGTGCTCCTGCCTGCTGCCTCCCTCCCTCCCAGTGGACAGGCCACCACCTGCTGCTGGCACAGCGCCGGCCCTTCAGGGAACAAATGTTCTCTTGCTGCTGGGCTATAGGACAGGACAGACGCTGGATTTCAAGAGAACCAGGGAAAGGCACCCTCGGGCCGGCAGCCCCTACTCTTCCACCCATCTGCCTTCCCTGCCAAGCAGAGATCTCACTCATGGGGGCTGTAGGAGAGTAGGTGTTTTGACCAGACTGTGGTCAAGATTGGTCTGTCTCCTTTTCTACACCAGTCTTGCTCAAGGCTATAGTGGGCATTTATTTATTCAGGCCATAAGTATTTATTGAGCCTCTGTTATGTGCCAGGCAATTTGCTAAGTGCTAGGAGTATAGACCTCATCCTCTGCCCTTGAGAAAGTCACTGTTTAGTGGGGTGGACAAGACACACCAATCGATAAATTATGATACAACACTCAGAGTGTAATAACAGAGTGAAAAACAAAATGCACAGAGAAGGAGCATCCAAGTATCACCCAGGTATGAAACATGTGGGCTTTGGAGACTGTTAGTTAGCCTCTGTAGAAATCTCATCTTTGCCTCTTGCCACCTGTTTGACCTTGGACAATTTACTTAAGGTCTGTAAGTCCCACTGACCCATCATTAAAGGGTTATGTGAGATAATGCGATGAAGTACTTTAACACGGCACATAGGAAAGACTCAATACACGTGGGCCACTACTAACAAACGCAATTTGTATTCAAATGCCTCCCCCAGAGATGCAGAGCATCAGCCATTGCACCCAGGCAAGGGTTCTAGAAGCCTAGAAAGGATGGAGAAATAAGGTCAGTTAGTGGGCAACAGAGCTTAGAGCCAAAGAAGGCACCAAACATCTGTGTCCAGGGGCAAAGCTGGAGTACAAGACCAAGTTAAAAAAAAAATCGACCCGGACTGTCAGACAGGAAGGGCCAATTAGAGAAGAAGAAAATAAATCCAGGGTGATGACAGAAATCGGAGATATTGGGCAAAATTAATTCCAAAAAGAGAACACAAGCAGAGGTGAAAACTTGGAGAAACAGAGACTTGAGAAGACAAAAAATTCTTCTCAGAGGAGGTGGTGTTTGATCTCAATCACAGAAGATGACTAGAAGCTTGCCAGGAAGGGAGTTTAGGAAAAGGCAATTTTTGAAGTGGGAACAGCATGAGCAAAGGCACAGGGATGTTCCGGGGAAGAGCAACAGTGTCTTAGTGGCTGGAGTGTGTGGAGTAAAGAGGAAGGAGGGGAGGCTGGAACATGGCAGGAGCCAAGACATAGTGGACTCTGTGTGCCAGGCTAGGGGATCTAGTCTTGACCTGTAGGCCAGTGTGGCATATCAGAGTCACCTGTCAAGCTCTTACAAGGCACCAATGCTCAGGCTACACTGCCCAAGAGTCTGAGTTTAACTCGTCTGAGTTAAAGCCAGCCACGGGTAGTTTTTAAATCTCCCCAGGTGATTCTAATGTGTAGTCAAGTTTGCAAGCCACTGCTGTAGGCAATCAGACATCAATGAAGATTCTACTTATATGCCCAGAATGCTGTGAAGCTAAGAAAAGATAATTCATTTAATTTCAGCAAACATTATTAAGACCCACTCATTGCCAGGCCCTGTGCTAAGCCTTGTAAATATGGAGATGAGAAGACAGGGTCCACTGCTCTCTGTTTAGCTCTTTAGAGTTTATGAATCACGTTCACCTTCACTGCCTAATCCTCCCTGGGAATGGAAAAGGAATGTGGTTGCAGTCCTTCAGGGGAAGCGGTATACATAATCAACTCAGTCATTGTGGGGCCTACCCTGAGGTCTGGCACTGGGCTGTAGCGGAGAAAATGAATTGAGCAATTTTTTATAGAAAAAAATCAATAGCATCAGAACAGGCAGCCACATCAGCAGCTGGGGCTGGCGGGAGGGGAAAGGCAAAGGGGGAGGAAAAAGGGGGCTATCGGAGAAAACAAGGACACTTCATGTAAAGAAGAAATAGAGGTGTTGTGGAAGGAGGAAGGAAAAAGGGCCAAGTGGAGTGGGTTAGGGGACTGAGGTGGTGGTTTCTGAGAGAATTTGGAGAAAACCATTAGATCCCTTGAGTCTTAATCCCCCTCCACTACTCAGAGCCCTGAATGTGGAGATAGGTATGCAAGAAGTTATGAGAGGGAAATTGACACCTAGCAAGTTCCTGTCACTGTGCTAGGTGTGTCACATACATTAATGTAATGTAATCCTCACTAATAAATAAGTTTACAAATGAGAAAAACAGACATCCTAAAGGCCACTAGGCTACCCAGCTTATGTGAGACAGAGTTATTTATCCTTTTTTTAGGCTTAGAGAGAAACATATTGGGGAGTAGCTTTGTCAAAGAGGCACTCCAAAAATAGTTATTTTTCCAACCTCAGACCACGTGTAACACTAGTACAAGGCTCAGGGTGGGATGGAACCTCAGAGAGCATCTGCTGTGGATATGAGTGAACCCTGAACTGGGACCTAGCTCCAGACGAACCTTCACCCTTGTCAAAACACAATCATTCAGGTTACTTGAGGCAGATGAGAGAGACGGAAAAATTCCACCATGTAACCACAGAGAGCATTTTTTTAGGAATCCTCAGGCACAACCTCCTGTGAGGGGAGCCCCATGGAGGGACTATGGCCTTCCCCACTGGAGTTGGGGGGGCCTGCAGGGTGGGGAATGAGCTCACAACCACACACTGGGGAGAGAAACAGGCCTTGTGAGAAAGCCTTGCTGGGGAGCAGCAGGGACAATCGCTGGTCACTCTGTGCCATTAAACTGCAGGACTGGGTCTCCTGTGATTGCTTTAGACATACACCCAACTCAGACAAGGTCAAGCAGAGCGGAAATTTATTGGAAGGTTACTGTGTTATCTCACACAGGTAGGAGTGTTTGCTGTGGTTTGAATGTTGTTCCCCATTCCCTTCAAATTCATAGTTGAAATTATAACCTCCAAGGGGATACTATCAGGGAGGTGAAGCTTTTGGGAGATGATTAGATCATGAGGGCCCTTACGAATGGGGTGAGCACCCTTAATAAAAGGCCTTGCCCCTTCCACCATGTGAAGACACAGCGAAAAGTTGCCATCTATGAACCAAGAAGAGAGCCCTCATCAGACGCTAAATCCGCCAGTACCTTGATCTTGGACTTCTCAGCCTCTAGAACTGTGAGAAATAAATTTCTGTGGTCTGTGAGCCTCCCAGTCTAAGATATTTCGTTAGTTGACTGAACAGATTAAGATAATATTGAACAACCAAATTTCAGGAAAGGATGGTTGTAGTTGGGCCTCAGAGCAATTGAAATCTGGGTCATGAATCATAAAGACTAGTCCTATCACTTTTCTACACTTCTCTGATGGTTTCCTTGGCCATCACTGCAGACTACCTTCTGCTGCAAGGTGGGATACGTGGCCACCAACAACTCCTGAGCTTCATATTGCAGATTCGACCTCCAGAGGACGAAGTTTATTTCTTCTATTACAGCTTGAAAAATCCCAGAGAAGGCATCTATGAAGGATTCTGTTTGGTTTAGCTTGGGGTGGTGCCTACCTTGCACCAATCATTAGCACCTAGAGGAGCAAGGCTATGTTTAACAACATGGCAACTCCAACTATATCTATATGAATGGAGGAAGGAGGGAAGGTTCACAACATGTATTAATCCCATGCAAAAACAATGTGCAACACTGAGAGATGAATAAGACATGGTCCTAGTCCTCAAGGTGCTCACAATAGCAATGTGGCAAATCTTCATGCCCCTTTCCTAACTGGACAAACAGTAGAGTATATTTCCCAGCCCACATGTGGTTAGGAATGGTCATGTGACTGATGTGTGACCAATGGCATGTGTGAATCATTTCCAGACCTGTTCCATTTTAATGTGCTTCTCTTCCATGTGCTTCTCCCTTTCCAGCTGAATGGAATGGAGACAACACCCAGGTAACATAGAAGAGCCATGTGTTTAAGATTGCAGAACCACAGATGGAAGGAGCCTGACTCTCTGAATCACTGCACAGAAGACAGAAGAGACTCACGAACCACAAGCATGCGCACCAGGCTCTTATACTAGCAAGAAAAAGAATTTTATAGTGTTAAGCATTAAGATTTCAAGGCTTACTTACTACAGCTGCTAGGTCTGCCTTCATTAATATAGTTAGTAAACATTGCATTAACTGGAATTAACTACTTTGAGTTCCAGCTCTATGACAAACTTGCTGAATGACTTGGAGAAAATTACTTTACTTCTCTGAGTCTCCCCATTAACTGTACCTACATTGCAGGATTTTTCACTAATGAATAGAGATAATGCACGTGAATGAATGTGAATGCTAAATTATAATACTTCACAGTTTCAGGGTAGAATATTAGAAACTTGTCTCTGCCTTCCCATTTCTCAAGTATGTCAAGATATAATTTTAGTGACTTAGAAAGCTTTCAAGTATCTCATTGAAAGTCTCCTATTTAATAAATGAAGCAATGTAGGTTATAAAAATGTAGTTTTTCCCATAGAACTCAATAAAGTTATTTTCACTTTAATTTTTTTAAATAAATGGCACTTAAACATTTTTTATATCCTGCATTAGCATTAGATGAAAAATAGCTTGCTCACCACTGATATTATCAAGCTTCATTAACATCTTGAAGAAATCAAGGCTGAATTAGGGGAAATTTTACAACTTTGCCCTTAGTAATTGGCAGATAGCCTTAAACCTGCAATTTCTGACTCCAAGTTAGCATGCCTCCCCATTCTCTGTAGTTCTTCTCAGCCAGGGTACTCATAGCTGCCACAGCCACTACATAGATTCACATAAAGCTATGGTTATGGGCTCATTCTCAGTTGATCCTTCTCTCTACCTTCACCAGAGGGCTTTGAGTGGAGATTCATGTACCCTGTTATATCAATAATTTCACACTGTGTTCCTCTCAACTCCCTAGGGGCCATTTGTGTTTGAGTTGTTTGTTTGTTTGTTTGTTTGATTGATTTGGATTTCTGTTTTTTGGTTTGTTTTTGTTTGTTTTTGAGATGGGGGTTTCACTGTGTCACCCAGGCTGGAGTGCAGTGGTGTGATCTTGGCTCACTGCAACCTCCCCCTCCCAAGCTCAAGTCATCTTCCCACCTCAGCTTCCCAAGTAGGTGAAACCACAGGCACAGCACGTGCCACCACGCCCAGATAATTTTTTTGTATTTTTGGTAGAGACAGGGTTTCACCATGTTGCCCAGGCTAGTATTGAACTCCTGAGCTCAGATGATCTACCCGTCTTGGCCTCCCAAAGTGCTGGGATTACAGGTGTGAGCCAACACACCCAGCCTGTGTTTGAGTTTTGAGTTTCACCACTAGTTTAACTAGAGCAGCACTGACTTTATCTACTTTACATATTGAACTCCTGGATAAGATTTCCTTTGAACAAAAAGTTTCCTAATTAAAAAGATTTTTTTGAAAGCCAATGAACCAGAAAACTGAACTTCGAGGTCACAATGTGATGGCAAAGGAGACAAGAAATTCATTTTCTAATTCCAAGTCTGATACTAACTCATATGACTTTAAGCAAGTATTTCTCTTTAAAGCTTCAGTTTCCTTTCTATAAAATGGAAAGTTAAACAACAGGAGAGCTTACATCCACAGGGCAAGGCAGCTTAGGGTATGTATTTGGCATTGGAGGTGGAGGCAGGGGAGGTGGGAGGTGACTAACTATGAGAGGAAGAGTAAAACCCCAGATAAAGAGGTTTTAACTTTATTGAAAGTACTCATTGAGCTACAGCTACGTGCCAAGTATTCTACAAAGCATTTGAGAATAAAACATGGAACCAAACAGAGAGCATGTATACAGTACCAGATCTGACAGTGAGGGGTGTCAATCACAAGAACCAGAGGCTGTCAGTCAGAAAGGGGATAGCACCAGGAGAAGAACAAAAGGTTCTTTGTTTGAAGTTTTTTTTCTTTTCCCAAAAAACATTCAATCATGGTCTCCTTTACAGAATCCTAACTCCCTCTCCCACCCTTTCAGCCAAGTCTTCTGAATCAGTTCCCTTAATTATTCATTACGTATTCATTTGTCATTTATATAGCATATATTTAGTGAATTCCTCCTATATACAGCATCCTGTACCAGGCGCTGAGGATTGGAGATGGGTTAAATTTGATACCAGCCCTCAGGATGCTCATGATCTATTGTGAAGACTTGTAAAACACTTGCAATGCAAGGAGGGACACAGGAGTGAGGGTGGAGGAATCACCAGTGGTCCTTCTCCATTCCTTAGGGGACGTCAGATTCCTTTACCCCTCCCCTACCTCTCTGCACCTCACCTACGCCTTTTGGATGCACTCCCTTTTGCTGAATCAACAAGATTAGGCACAGACATCTGCACTGAGGAAATAATAAGGGCACCAGAAGGTCACTGCAAATAGAAGGCAGTTATGTTGTTTCATGATTTAAAGTACTGAATGGTACATTTATTTCCATTAACTGCAATGAGATGGTGTTCACGTGGGTGATAACAGTAGGATTTTCACGACATCATTTTAGCCTATCTGGTTATACAAACTTCTAGGTTTCCTGAGTATCGAATCTTCCTGAAGCATTGAAGAATAAAGGATATTCTGTACTTTATCTTCCTTTACTGTCCTTCACCTGATCTTTTTTTAGTTATAGACAAAGTCATCCTTATTTTTTAATCTTTCAGGTAAGAAATATTTACTGAGCCCTAGTGCATTCCAGCCACTGTGTATTTTACAGACATATAAATGAAAAAAGAAATGGTCCCTGATCTCAAAGACCTAACAGTCTCATGAGAAAAACAACAAAGATGATTAAGTTCAATGTGATTAGTGCTATATTAGAAGCAAAAGTAGTGATAATGAGAATTCCAAGAGAGGACCATACCACCAGATGGGAGGTTCTATAAAAGCTTGCTAGGAAAGAAAGCTTATCTGAGTCAGGAGTAAAGATTCATGGCTAGTCAAGTAAATGGAGGTTGGAAAGGTGTCCAGGCAGATGGGAGTTTGGGCAGTTTTTCCTCCTGAAGCTACTGCCCCAGTGAACTATCCAAATTAGATGTGCTAATAATGTTCAGGAATTCAACATGCCACATGGACTTGTGAGTCAGAGAGATTTTACTCTCCTTTTTTGGTCTGTGTCTTCACCTACTCAGGCATGATTGTAAAGTTGAAATGAGAAAATAAAGTGGATGATGTGCTCCCTACAGTCTCCGGCATCAGTCTGTTCTCGTAAATGATGTTGGGGGTAAGGGGAGGATGCATAAGGGTAGGTGAAGTGTGTGGATCGGAGAGGAGTGCCTTGGGCATATCTTTGTAGGACTTAACTTATCTAATATAATGAAGTGTCTATCTCCCATTTGTTCTCCGAGATCCATTCCCAACCCCTCATCACCAGCTCTGTGCCCTTGGAGCCTGACCTGTTTGGACTTTACCAAAGGGCTCCCTCTCTGATTTCCAGTTGAGTCAAGCAATGGAGGGCACTGCAGGAGACCAGAGAGAAGGAAAGTGAGGTCAATCTTGCTCCTTTGCATTCATCTCAGGCTGCTGCATCCTTGGCATAAGGGCGCATCTCCTGCCAGATGGTCTTCTCCATAACATGTTCTGTCTCTAGATTCTGTTAACTGTTCCCTCCCATTGTGTCTCACACACAAGGTTAAAAATAGGGAGCTGTTGTTGGCCCAAGGGCATTGCACTATCCTTGAGGTTTCCATACAACATCCCTATACCTTTATAATGAATCCTTCAATTTTTCTTTAATCACCCAGTTTGAGTCTGCATTCCTTCTGGAATTTTAACAGACACATATTCTGTAAGCCCTGCAAAGAGATTCCAAATAAATCTGTGGACACTGGAATTAATAAAGGGGTGAATGTATTTCCTCTAGGCTAGCATTTACATTGTTAGGAGCATACCCAGAAGCTAAACCAGCTGAGGAGGAGGCTCTCCTTCCTATGTCCTCTTCCCATTAAGCTGAGCAAATTGAGAACAGTGCCCAAATTTTATTAATCTTTCAATCTGTACCCTCAACATCTAGCTCAAAAACTGGGATACAGAATCTATGTTCAATATGTGTGTGTTGACTGGGTTTCCACTCATTGAGCTACAGCTATGTGCCAAGCATTGTGCAAAGCATTTGCAAATATAACATGGAACCAGATAGGATGTGTATAGTACAGTGAGGGGTGTCAATCACAAAAAAAACAAGAGGCTGTCCGTCAGAAAGGGGATAGCACCAGGAGAAGAACAAAAGTTTCTTTGTTTGAAGTTTTTCTTTTTTCCTCAAAACTCAATCATGGTCTTCTTTACAGAATCCTAACTCCCTCTCCCACCCTTTCAGCCAAGTCTTCTGAATTGGTGGTAGAGGAAGAATCAAGTCATTCCCTTACTTATTCATTCACTCATTCATTTGTCATTTATATAGCATATACTTACTGAACTCCTCCTACATCCAGCATCTTGTACGAGGCACTGAGGATAGGAGATGAGTTAAATTTGATACCAGCCCTCAGGATGCTCATGGTCTATCGGGAAGACTTGTAAAGCACTTGCAATGCAAGGAGGGACACAGGAGTGAGGATGGAGGAATCACCAGTGGTCTTTCTCCATTCCTCAGCAGACATCAGATTGAATGGGTTTCCAATCCAGTATACTGGAAAAGATGAGGGAAATATAAATGTAATGGCACATCTGTATTTGCTGCCCTCTCCACACTCACACACATGCATACACACTAACGCCATAATTATGACGTTTTATAAAACATTCCAAAATTCATTTACTTGGTCATTCCAATCTTGTTTAAAATAACATACCTCTGGCAGTCTACAGGAAGAAATTCTTCTTCACCTTGTGGGATCAGGACCCAAAACTACCCCATACTGGAGATGCGATGGAAACCCTGTTATTAAATCAAGGGCCTCAGTGCCAGATGGAAGCTTGGAGGCCTTGCGCATGGCTCAGCCCTGCAAGCTGCTGGCTGCTCTTCTGGACACTGTCAAGGGCAGGAGATCCTCTTCCTTGGGCTGCAGAGCCCTCTATGGTTGTTCAGCCCTTACTGATGGGATGGGCTCCCTCGAGCTAACTCAAAATCTGCCTCCCTGTAACTTCTGTCTCTAAGAAGCAAACATTCTCTTGACTGATACTGCAGGGCCCCAAGATAACTGCTTTGAACAAACTTCCTGACTTTAAATATTGGTAGAGTAAGCCATGGCCTAAGAGGTGTGATTTGGAGAGGACCAGGAGGATTGTGTGTCTGAGAGGACCTTCTCTGTCCCTCAATCCCATCTCCCACCACCTATGAAGACTTCAGTTTTAATCACAGCTAGGGGTGCAGACTTGCACTTAGGGAGGCCCCTTAGAAACAGACATAGCTCATTGTAAATTTCTCTAAGGGAAGAACTGTGTCTTCCATGTGTTTTGTTTTATGACCAGACATTGAGAGTAAATTGCTGAGAGACTAGAGGAGTGTCAGATGAGGCAGAATCTCACAGGAGGAGGAGGTCCTCCCATGGACACCATGAAAAAAGAAGGTATCTGGAAATAAGGAACAGCATTTGCAGAAGCCCAGAGGAGGGGAAAGACTCCAGCTTATTCAGACACCACAGTTTTAGGTGAGAGTGTGGAGGGCCTGCAGGAAGAGGTAAGCCATGGGCTGGAGTGGAAGCAGAGCCAACTCTGCCACTGCCCCGGAGCTATGACCTTGGGCAAGTCACTTTACCACTCTCTGAAATGAGAAAGATTGGGGGAGCTATCTCGTTTCTAAAGGCCTTCCTGTTCCATAAATCAACCATTCTAAAAATGCCTCACATTTCTGTAGCTCTTCACAGATCATAAAGTACATTACCTCATTTCATTCTGCAGCACTGAAGGCAAAACTTGGCGGAATTCAGAGTTGACCTTACTCTTTTCTGATGACTTTTCAACACAAATGCAAAACTCAGGGCATCCCCATGTTTTTGCCTCTGAACCAACCCCTCAAGTAACCTAGCACCCCCTTTGCTCAGTACACACAGACACACACACACAACACACACACACAGACACACACACACATACACACACACACAACACACACAGACACACACACATACATACACACACACAGAGTTTCTTAAGGACAAAATAATTTGTTTTTAAAAGAGTTCTTATATTTAAATTTCAAAAAGTGTCCTGCTGCCCCTCCCCTACCCCAACCCTAATTAAAATGTTAAAACAGTCAAGGTCACTTCTAGTGCCTGGAGGGTAGGCAAGTCAAACTCCTAACCGTGGAAGCCCTGAGTGGTTTGGGAATTCAGTAACATTCCTTATTACAGAGTCTAAATCCTGGGTATTAAGAAAGGGATTTCTAATAGGGATAGATGAGGAGAATGGGATCAGGGAGCACTTAGCTTCCTCAATCTAGGGTTTAAAATTGTATAATTAATCCGAATGGGACTTAATAAGTGAGACTATATCGTCATGGGAGATGCTGGAAAGTTACTATTAGTGTAGATCTGACCAACAGAGAGATCTAGAACAAGTTAACTAACTTCTCTGGGTCTGTTTTCTTATCTATAAAATTAGGGACTCGATTAAACAACCAATGAAATAGCTTTCCATTTATTATTTCTTCATTTATTCAATGCACATTAACTAATAAACTACCTTGTGTCAGACATTGTGAAAGGCACTGATACAGAACCAAAAAAATGTTAATTAAAATTAACTGTGTGTGTGTGGGGGGGGTGCATATGCACATGTATGTGTGCATGAGCACACATGAGAGAGAGACCACTCCATGTCCTCAGAGCTCACATTTTGGTTGGCAAGATAGATAGTGCGAAGAAATAAAGGCAGTAAAAAATCCTTTTGTGCAATGATAATCACCGATACAAAGAAAGCACAAAGGAAAGAATGCTTCCTGGTGAAAGAATCAGGGAATCTTTAGAGACTGAGTGATGCTTAAGCTGGATCTAAAGGTGAATAAGACAGAGGGAGGCATTCCATCAACAGGAAGGAGAGCAAATGAAGATAGGCTTAGGGAAAAAGAATGAATTTGTAATGCTTAGAAGCCAGAGTGATGAGAAAGGGTAGAGGTAGCAAGAGATGCAAGCAGGAGCCCGACCATGAAGAGCCAAGTCAGCCCGGCTAACATGATGAAGAATCACTCAATGTTGTAAACAAGGGAGCCACATGATCAGCTCTACATTCAGTAAATGTCACTCTGGTTGCCATAGGGAGTATAGACTGGAGCAGGGAAAAACAGGGGACAGGACCTCACTGAGGAAATGAAAATCACCCCATTATACTAGGGGAGATAGAGTCTGAACTAAGGCAGCATCCTTAGTTGCCTGGAGATGAAGAGGAAGAGGAATGTGTAAATTTAGTAGCTTTTCAGGGACTGCTATGTGTGATTCATTTATTCAGCAATCATTTACATGGTTTTTTACTATGTGCCAGGCACTGTTCTAAGCACTTAGAAATATTAACTCATTTAATCACTACACTACACCTATGAAGCTGGAACTTCTATAATCCCCATACGGTGGATGAGATAAATGACACACAGAGAGGTTAAGTGCCATAGCCAGTGAACACGTAGTCTCCACCTCGGGTCTATGCTATTAACCACTAACACTATGCAGCCAAGAGTGAGTCCCAAATTTCTTGCAGAGTTGCCTGTTGTATGGATGGACATGTCATTTACTTCTTGAAAGGAAAGAGTCAAGTTTCTCTGGGAGCTGTAAATCAAGGCACCTGTGACATCATGGTGGAAAAGCCCAGCAGGAATTGGTCAATTGAGTATGGAGCAGAGGAAATAGTTTTGGGCTGGAGATCTAGATTTGGAAGTCATCAGTGTACAGATAGCAACTGTCACCAAGGGGGTGCCTAGACTGCCCACCGCTGTCACTGGTGTAGTCCATGTGAAATGGCAGGATGGTATTCTTCATGTTTCACCCCTGGTCCTGACTGCATGTCAGGAGCTGCTCCTAGGGTATGTGTGTCATTGTGTTAGTTGTGAACTAGCTCTTGTCAAAGAATATGGCTATTTTCATTCAGTCACCATGTTTGAAGGATTATAGAAATACTTTGAAATATACAAAAATAATAAGCAATTGAGCTGCTGACAGGAAATAAGACTTTGATAGAGAAACTATAGAAAGGAACTAAGGCAGATACAACCTCTATCAAGCTTTGATTTCATGAAGTCCTGCTTAGTAATCCTACTTTTTAATATTTTAGAACCTAAAGGTAATAATTGGTACAAAACATTGGAACTGTAATTTGGTCACGCTGGTTCTGTATTTACATTTCTTTCATTAAAAATTTAGTCAAAATGAATAACTGAAGAAAGAGAGGAGCTTAAAAACTTTTGCAACTATGAGTTAAAGATTGGAAACTGGTCTACTGAATAATGACTACACTCATTTAAAAACTATGGTGTTTTGTTTTATTTTTGGAGCTCAAAAACATCTGACAGGATTTCATGGAAAGCAAAGATAAGGCTCACTGGCTGCAGGCAAGCCACCTCATTCACATGCAGCTCAGTTACTCTTTGGTCAAAACCAATAAACTTGTTAAGTTTTTATTATGTGCTAGGCATTGGGCTGTATGTGTTCTATCCATTGACTCATTAAAATCTCACAACTGCCAGGCAAGGGCAAAATTATTGCCTTCATTTTAAGAATGAGAAAGCCACATTTCAGGGAGGGGAATTCACCTGCCTAAACTCATTCAGTGAATAAATGACAAAACTGAGAACCCCACCAACTGTACCAAGTCCACACTCAGTTTGGGCAGTAATCAAAGTATCTGGAACTCCAGAGCCCAGCCATTTCCTCAATGCCAATATTATTTCCCTTGCTCTCTGGAAGGCCTGCCAAGTATTCTTCCACTGCTCAATTTTATCCATCCTTCTTGACAACATCTCAGGTCTCACCTCCCCACCGACTCCAGCCCAGACTGACATCATTTTTTGCCCTTTCCTGGCTTGGCTGCACCACACACACTGGTATTTGGGGCTATGGACTTCCTATGGTTAAGTGCTGCTTTCTTCGCAACATTGTAAGCCTTTTTCAATCTACTCTTAAAACCCCCTGAAATGTAGGTCTCACTCAAGTTATTTAATAAATTTTGCCAAATTAACTGAAAAGAGATTGCTGAGAGTCTCTGATGGAGCCCGCCATACACAGCACCCATCTTGTTGTCTTGAGTCCTGAACAAATTGGGAAATAAGAAAAAGAGAAGCAGATGAAGGTCAAAAAATCAACTTTAATGACTGTACTGATAGATTGGAGGAGGACACCAGCATGAGAACCAAAATGCAAACACCAAAATCAAGAACCCAGCAATTTAGGCTCAGTTATAGCCAGGGTGGGGGTGAGGGGCCTGGTCAGATAGCACACACAGCATGACTTAGCAGAGTGGAAATTAGCTGCAGGAAAGTGGTCCTGCTCCTTCCCAAGAGGAAAAAAAAAAAAACAGATCATCCCCAGTTATTCTTGCCTCATGTTTTCATCAAGTCTTGCCACCTCTCCTGGGACACAGCAATTCCATATGAAAGGAGACTAAGAATGTTCATAGGGTAAGGTAAAGGGGAAAAGTGGGCCCTTCTAGAACAAAGCGCTGGGTAGTTCACCAATTTTTCATTCTATTCTATGTTTATTGAGTGTATATGAATGAAGAATAACAGTATCCTCTACAAAACTTCTGAGAGTACCTGAAAAATATTAAAGGCTCAATCATTATAATCATAATTGTAATTGTAACAAAAATATATTGAGCACTTACTATACACTAGGAATTAGACTGTTTTGATTCCTTATAACTACCATATTTGACACTATTAGTACTCCCATTATACAGATGAGAATAACCAAAATTAAATAACATTTCCAAGCTCTCACATGAACTAAACAGCACAGTCAAAATTCACATTCAATTTTTCTACCTCTATAAGCTCTTAGTGATGACAGCACATAAGTAGCCATTCCCATTTCTGCCTACAAGATAAATAATTCCAAGTCATATAGCATTTACTTATAATGCTCATGTATATAGCACATTGACTCTTGTAAAATATGGTTCCCAGAAGCTGATAACCTTTTATTCTTAACTTCTACTAAAGTGATGATCAATGTCAACAGCAAATATACATGCATGTGGAATAGTGGCTATCATTACATCATGGTAAGTGGTATATACTTGGAGTCCAAAAACCCAGGCTTAAAAGGCAGTTCAGACATTTACTGGCCATGACAGGCTATTTTGAAGAAATTACTTAACATCTCATATCTATTTTTTAATGGGATAATAAAATTTAGCCCATGATACTGTCATGAGGACTAAATTGAATGGTCTATTTAAAGTGCATAGCACAAATTCTGGCACATAGTAAATATGTTAGAAAGTATTGCTAAGAGGAAGGCAAAGGGCAAGAGAGAATGAAGGAGAAGAGGAAGGGCCATCCAATCTCTACCTTGGCAGTGTTTTCACTGGCTAAGAATTGAGTGAAGAAAAGGGGGAGGAAGGAGGAAGGAAGTAGAAGCTACAGCAGGAAGGCATATATGTAAGCTATTTATGCGAGCACTGACGGCATTGCAATAGCAGGAACCACTGTATCTCCTGTGATTAGAGGAATATGTATTCAGAGCAGAACTCCAGAATTGCATGTGAGACATGCGATGAGACAAATATTGCCGCAAAGTCATCCTAGACCTGTGCTATTTATCAAAGACTTTACTTGACTCTCCATCTGACCTAAATTATGGCACCTTTTTTCCACAATGAAGAAGTTGATGTCACAGAAGAACTCAATTCCCTCCTCCATCACCACTGCCTGATGTCAACAACCCCCTTCATGTGGATCTGCCAGTGACTGCTGTAAGCAGAATACTCAAAGTCTTCTGTCTTCAGTTTCCTCAACTGTAAAATACAGGGCTTCCCATAGCAGCTCCTCAAGGAGTGTGGCAGGAATATGACAACTGTCCCATGTAAGCCATGTTCAGCAGATTCAAGGACCTCCCTTATACATGCAGTCCCTCATTCTGCACACTTCACACTCATTCTTCTTCTTTCCTGTAATGTAGGAGTAAGCTTCTGTGTAAAGTGACAAGCTCATACTGTTTTACTGTGGTTAATTTGTTCCAATTCTTTCTACTTTATTATAATTTTTTCTGTTGTAGTTGAGTTTAGGTTAATAATGCACAATATTTTTTCTCAATTTTTAAACACTATAGGTGTTTAAATATATTTTTTCTAATTTGATGTATGAATTGTATTAATATCTGACTTTGCAGTGTTTTATGGCTCTACTATTTTGGGTTTTTTTAATTTAAATTTTTATCTTTAATTTTTGTGGGTACCTAGTCAGTGTATATCTTTATGGAATACATGAGATGTTTTGATACAGGCATGCAATGTGTAATAATCGTATCACGGAGAATGGGGTATCGATCTCCTCAAGTATTCATCCTTTGTGTTACAAACAATCCAATTATACTTTTAGTTATTTTCAAATGTACAATTAAGTGATTGACTATAGTCTCCCTGTTGTGGTATCAAATAGTAGGTCTTATCCAGTCTTTTTAACTATTTATTTTTGTACCCATTAAACATCACCATCTCCCCCCACCTCACTTCCCAATACCCTTTCCCAGCCTCTGGTAACCATCCTTCTACTCTGTATGTCCATGAGTTTCATTGTTTTGATTTTTAGGCCCCACAAATAAGTGAGAACATGTAATGTTAGTCTTTCTGTGCTGGGCTTATTTCACTTAACATAATTATCTCCAATTCCATCCACGTGCTTGCAGAATCTCATTCTTTTTTGTGGCTGAAGAGTACTCTGTTTTGTATACGTACCACATTTTCTTTAGCCATTCATCCATGGATGGGCATTTGGTTGTTTCCATATCTTAGCCATTGTGAACAGTGCTGCAACAAATATGGGAGTGCAGTTATCTCTTTGATATGATTTGGCTGTGTTCCCACCCAAATCTCATCTTGAATTGCAGTTCCCATAATTCCCAGGTATCATGGGATGGATCTGGAGGGAGGTAATTGAAACATGGGGATGGGTCTTTCCCATGCTGTTCTCATGATAGTGAGAGCAAGATCTGATAGTTTTATAAAGGAGAGTTCTACTACACAAGCTCTCCTGCCTGCTGCCATGTAAGATGTGACTTGGCTCCTCATCTGCCTTCAGCCATAATTGTGAGGCCTCCCAGACATGTGGAACTGTAAGTCAATTAAACCTCTTTCCTTTATAAATTACACAGTTTTGGGTATGTCTTTATTAGCAACCTTAGGACAGACTAATACAGTAAATTGGTACTGGATAGTGGGGCATTGCTGTAAAGATACCTGAAAATGTGGAAGCTACTTTGGAGCTGGGTAACAGGCAGAGATTGGAACAGTTTGGAGGGCTCAAAAGACAGGAAGATGTGGGAAAGTTTGGAACTTCCCAGAGACTCGCTGAATAGCTTTGACCAAAATGCTGATAGTGATATGAACAATGAAGTCCAGGCTGAGGTGGTCTCAGATGGAGATGAGGAACTTGTTGAGAACTGGAGTAAAGGTCACTCTTGCTATGCAAAGAGATTGGCATCATTGTGCCTCTGCCCTAAAGGTCTATGGAACTTTGAACTTGAGAGATATGATTTAGGGTACCTGGCTGAAGAAATTTCTAACCTGCAAAATGTTCAAGAGGAAGCAGAGCATAAAAGTTTGGAAATTTGCAGCCTGATGATGCAATAGAAATAAAAACCCCATTTTTCTGAGGAGACATTCAAGCTTGCTGCATAAATTTGCATAAGTAATGAGGAGCCAGACAATGGGGAAAATGTCTCCAGGGCATGTCAGAGACCTTCATGGAAGCCCCTGCCATCACAGGTCAGGAGAACTAGAAGGGAAAAATGGTTTCCTGGGCCGGGTCCAGGCCCCCCTGCTGTGTGCAGCCTAGGGACCTGGTGCCCTGCATCCCAGCCACTCTAGCCATGGCTAAAAGGGGCCAAGCTCAGGCTGTGGTTTCAGAGAGTGCAAGCCCCAAGCCTTGGCAGCTTCCACATGGTGTTGTGCCTGCAGGTGCGCAGAAGTCAAGAATTAAGGTTTGGAAACCTCCACCTAGATTTCAGAGGATGTATGGAAATGCCTGGATATTCAGGAAGAGGTGTGCTGCAGAGGAGGAGCCCTCATGGAGAACCTCTGCTAGGGCACTGTGGAAGGGGAATGTGGGGTAGCCCCTGCACAGAGTCCCCATTGGGGCACTGCCTGGTGGAGCTGTGAGAAGAGGGCCACTGTCCTCCAGATCCCAGAATGGTAGATCCACCGACAGGTTGCACTGTGCCCCTGGAAAAGCCACAGACACTCAACACCAGCCCATGAAGGAAGCTGGGAGGGGGGCTGTACCCTGCAAAGCCACAAAGGCAGAGCTGCTCAAGACCATGGGAACCCACCTCTTACATCAGTGTGACCTGGATGTGAGACATGGAGTCAAAGAAGATAATTTTGGAACTTTAAGATTTGACTGCCCTGTTGGATTTTGGACTTGCATGGAGCCTTGAGCCCCTTCCTTTTGGCCAATTTATCTCATTTGGAAGGGGTGCATTTATCAAATGCCCATGCCCCCATTGTATCTAGGAAGTAACTAACTTGTTTTTTATTTTACAGGCTCATAGGTGGAAGGGACTTGCCTTGTCTCAGATGAGACTTTGGACTGTGGACTTTTGAGTTAATGCTGAAATGAGTTAAGACTTTGGGGAACTATTGGGAAGGCATGTTTGGGTTTGAAATGTGAGGACATGAGATTTGGAAGGGGCCAGGGACAGAATGATATGCTTTGACTGTGTCCCTACCCAAATCTCTTCTTGAATTGTAGCTCCCACAATTCCTATGTGTCATGGATGGGACCTGGTGGAGGGTAATTAAATCATGGGGCAGGTCTTTCCCATGCTGTTCTTGTGATAGTGAATAAGTTTCACAAGATCTGATGGTTTTATGAAGGGAAGTTCTCCTACACAAGCTCTCTTGCCTGCCACCATGTAAAACATGACTTTGCTCCTCATTTGCCTTCCGTCATGATTATGAGGCCTCCCCAGCCATGTGGAATTGTGAGTCAATTAAACCTCTTTCCTTTCTAAGTTACCCAATCTCAGGTATGTCTTTATTAGCAGCATGAGAACAGACTAATACACTCTTCAATATACTGATTTCCTTTTTGGCGGGGTATATACCCAGCAGTGGGATTGCTGGATCATACAGCTCTGGCTGTATCATTTTCATTGCCTTTTGTTCATTTGGCCCTCTCAGCAATACCATGATAAAGAAGAACAGCCAAAATGATCATTGCCTTTCAGATGAACAAACACTTTATAGAGATTGGGGATCTTGCCTTAACTGTCTCATTAATTGCAAACCTGGGACAAAAGCTAGCTCCCCTATCACTGAAGCCCAGGTCTTGTCTCTTACCCCTTATTGCCACAAATGAGAAAGAAGCTGGTAAATATGGCAGTAGCCCCCAGAAAATGTCCATATAAGGAGCCACTCTCTGGTATCAAAAAATTATTTAATTAAGAAAAGCACAGAATGAGGACAGCCTGGTGGTTCAAATCTTCAGTTTCCAGTGGACAACAGAGGGGAATTGCCATGGGTCCCATATTCTAGGGACAGCCCATCCTCCTGCTAGAGAAAGACTTCCATAGATGTCTCAAAGATGAAATTCTCTACTACTCTGCTAAATAGAATATGAGCTCCCCAGTCCTAGAGTTTCCAGCTGTATTGCCAGGGTCTGCAAGGGAAAATAAGAAGGAAGCCCTGACACCCCAATCTCAGCACCTGTTTTATCTCCTTAAAGTCTTCTCTATTCCAGGCTGAGTAGCCTTAGTTCCTTCAACTGCATCAAGTATGCCCACCATGTTGGTTACTCTTCTGTCTGTGCACTGCAAATTTCAAATATCCTTAAATATGAGTGCTCAAATGTGACTTCCACAGTGTGGGTGTGTTTGCCCCTTTATCAGTGTAACTCCAGTTCACATTTTTTTGTCTTTTCAGACTTTTTACTCTGTTGATTTACATTAAACTCACGTTTAATTAAAACCCTTAACCACTAATTCTCAAACTGTGGTGTGCATGAGAAGTGCCTGGTGTTTGTTAGAAATCTGGATTTCTTACTGGAAAAACAAATCCAGCAGCACACCAAAAAGCTTATCCATCACGATCAAGTTGGCTTCATCCCTGAGATGCAAGGTTGGTTCAACATTCACAAATCAATAAATATAATTCATCATGTAAACAGAACTAAAAACAAAAACCACGTGATTATCTCAATATACACAGAAAAGACCTTCAATATAATTGAACATCCGTTCATGTTAAAAATCGCAGTAAACAGGTAGTGAAGGAACATACCTCAAAATAATAAGAGCTATGTATGACAACCACACGTCCAATATCATACTGAATGGACAAAAGCTGGAAGCATTCCCCTTAAAAACCAGCACAAGACAAGGATGCCCTCTCTCCCACTCCTATTCAGCACAGTTGAATAGGAACAGAATAGCAGTTCTGACCAGGTCAATCAGGCAAGAGAAAGAAATAAAGCATATTCAAATAGGAAGAGAGGAAGTTAAATAATCTTTGTTTGCAGATGACATGACCCTGTATCTAGAAAACCCCATCGTCTCAGGCCAAAAGCTTCTTAAGCTGATAAGCAACTTCAGGAAATTCTCAGGATACAAAATCAATGTGCAAAAATTGCTAGCATTTCTGTACACTAACAACAGAGAGCCAAATCATGAATGAACTCCCATCCACAATTGTTACAAAGAGAATAAAATACGTAGGAATACAGCTAACAAGGGAAGTGAAGGACCTCTTCAAGGAGAACTACAAACCACTGTTCCAAGAAATCAGAGTGGACACATACAAATGGAAAAACATTCTATGCTCATGGATAGGAAGAATCAATATCATGAAAATGGCCATACCACCCAAAGTAATTTATAGGTTCAATGCTATTCCCATTAAACTACCATTGACATTCTTCACAGAATTAGAAGAACCTATTTTAAAATTCATATGGAATCAAAAAAGAGCTCACATAGCCAAGATAATCCTAAGCAAAAAGAACAAAGCTGGAAGCATCACACTACCTGACTTCAAACTATACTACAAGACTACAGTAACTAAAACAGTATGGTACTGTCACAAAAACAGACACATACACCAATTGAACAGAATAGAGAACTCAGAAATAAGACCACACACCTGCAACCATCTGATCTTCAACAAACCTGATGAAAACAAGCAATGGGGAAATGATTCCCTATTTAATAAATAGTGCTGGGAGAAATGGTTATTCATATGCAGAAAATTGAAACAGGACCCCTTTCTTACACGATATACAAAAATTAACTCAAGATGAATTACAGACTTAAATGTAAAACCCAAAACTATAAAAGCCCTAGAAGAAAATCTAGGCAATACCATTCAGGACACAGGCAAGGGCAAAGATTTCATGACAAAAACGCTGAAAGCAATAGCAACAAAAGCAAAAATTAACAAATGGGATCTAATTAAACTAAAGAGCATCTGTGCACCAAAAGAAACTACCAACAGAGTGAACAGACAACCTACAGAGTGGGAGAAAACGTTTGTAATCTACCCACCTCACAAAGGTCTAATACCCAGAGTCTACAAGGAACTTAAACAAATTTACAAGAAAAAGAAACAAATCCCACTAAAAAGTGGGCAAAGGACATGAACAGACACTTCTCAAAAGAAGGCCTTCATGCAGCTAACAAACATGAAAAAAAAAAAAAAAGCTCAACATCACTGACCATTAGAGAAATGCAATTCAAAACCACAATGAAATACCATCTCATGCCAGTCAGAATGGCAATTACTGAAAAGTCAAGAAACAGTCAAGATGCTGGCAAGGTTGCAGAGAACTGGGAACACTTTTACACTGTTGGTGGGAGTGTAAATTAGTTCAATCACTGTGGAAAACAGTGTGGCAATTCTTCAAAAACTTAGAGGCAGAAATACAATTTGACCCAGCAATCCCATTACTGGGTATATACCCAAAGGAATATATATCATTCTATTATAAAGATACATGCATGCATATGTTCATTGCAGCACTATTCACAATAGCAAAGACATGGAATCAACCCAAATGCCCATCAGTGATAAACTGGATAAAGAAAATGTAGTATATATACACCATGGAATACTATTCAGCCATAAAAAGGAATGAGATTATGTCCTTTGCAGGGACATGGATGGAGCTGGAAGCTGTTATCTTCAGCAAACTAAGGCAGGAATAGAAAAACAAACACCCCACATTCTCACTTATAAGTGGCAGCTGAATCATGAGAATATATAGACACAAGGGGGAGCAACACATACTGGGGCCTGTTGGAGGGGTGCAAGGGGATGGAGAGCATCAGAAGGAATAGCTAATGGATGCTGGGCTTAATACCTAGGTGACAGGTTGATCTGTGCAGCAAACTACCATGGCGCATGTTTACCTATGTAACAAACCTGCACATCCTGCACATGTATCATGGAACTTAAAATAAAAGTTGAAGAAAAAAAAAACCTAAGAATTGAACTACCATTTGACCCAACAATCCCATTACTAGGTATATATCAAAAAAAATAAATAAATGAATTGTTCTACCAAAGGACACATGCATGCATACGTTCACTGAAGCACTATTTACAATAGCACAAACATAGAATCAACCCAGGTGACCATCAATGGTGAACTAGACAAAGAAAAAAAAATCTGGATCCTAATTCAGTAGATCTATGGTGAGACTCAAGGATCTGCATTTCATAACATTCTCTCCCCCTTGCAAGTAATTTTACTGTTGGTGATGTTTGTAGTGCACTTTGTGAACACTGATTTGAATCTTTCTCCCAGATGCTTTAGATAAAGTACATAGCCTAGTGGTGTTCTTTGTGTACTCGGATTTGAGGGTTCAAATTCATAACATTGTATTGATCCCTCTTAAATGCACCAGTAAAAATTAGTAGTATGTGGTGAAAAAACAAAATGGACTTTGGAGATAGGAAGACTTGTGTTCAAAACCTGGCCTTAGGCAAATAAGTTAGCTCCCTGAATTTTTATTTCATCACCTGTAAAATAGACCACATTCCTGCCTGGGTTGTAGTTACCATTAAGACCATGTATATTCTGAGGCAACACATTGTCTGTCTTATAGAAGATGCTCAATATATATTAAGTCCCCCTGGCTCATACCTCCATTATCCCAGCATAAGGACATTTTGGGGGAACTTGATACTATCACCCAATTAATTAATTCTTCTTTCCAGCCTCATGTCATTTGAAAATTTTGTTGGCATTTTACCTCTGTCTTCTCAGCCAGTGGTTCTCAACCATATCAGTATATGGGATTCCTCTGAGGAACATCTTAAAAGCACAGGTACTGAGGGCTTTTGCCAGATCCTTGAAATAAAAGTCTTCAGAGATCAAGAGTGGAGAAGCATAGGCTTAAAAAGCTCCCCAGATGATTCTGATATGCACTCTGATTAAAGACTCACCAGTCTAAGTAATTGGTAATAATGTGGTTTACTATGTATCAAAAACCAGAAAATTCACAGACCCTTTAAGCCATACATATTCACTCCTAGTAATTGGTTCTGGGCAAATAATCATGGATGAGTGCAAAGATTTGTTTACAAGACTGTTTATTTAGTACATATCTCTTTATAAGTAAAAACAGGAAGAGAAGGAAAATAAGTTGGAGGAGGAGTTGGAGGACAGTGAGGAGAAGGTGAAGAAAGGAAAGAAACTGATTGCCCAGCAGCAAAGTATTGGAAACTACAAAATATAAAAAACAAAATGTGGTACTCCTTACTGCACACCATCGTGCAGCCCTAAAATAAACTGCTACATTTTTTAATAGTTACAGAAGAGGATAAAAGGCATAATCACATTTTTGTTGTTTAAAAATATAATTATGAGAGACATACAACAAATTATTAGCAATTAACTGGGTGTTGGAGTTACAAGTTATTTTAATTCATAGTCACACCTCATTTTACTGTGCTTCGCTTTAGTATGCCTTGTAGATACACGTTTTTGACAAACTGAAGGTCTGTGGCAACCCTGAAACAAGCAAGTCCGTGGGCACCATTTTTCCAACAACATGTGATCACTTTGGGTCTTTGTGTCACATTTTGGTAATTCCTGCAATATTTTAAACTTCTTCATGATTATTATATCTGTTATGCTGATCTGCAATCAGGGATATTTGATCTTACTATCATAATTGTTTTGGGGCACCACAAACCATGATCAAAGATGGGAAACTTTATCAATCAATGTTGTGTGTGTTCTGACTGCTCTACCAACTGGCCATCCCCCATCTCTCTCCCTCTTCCTCTGGCCTCCCTATTCCTTGAGACACAAGAATGTTGAAATTAGGTCAATTAATAACCACACAATGGCCTCTAAGTGTTCAAGTGAAAGCAAGAGTCACCCATCTCTCACATTTAATCAAAAGCTAGAAGTGATTAAACTTAGTGAGGAAGGCATGTCAAAAGCTAAATCAAGCCTAAAGCTAGGCATCTTGTACCAAACAGTTACTCCAGTTATGAATGAAAAGAAAATAGTCTTCAAGGAAATTAAAAGGGCTGCTCCAGTGAATACATAAGTAGTAAGAAAATGAAACAGCTTATTGCTGAGAAGGAGAAAGTTTGTTTTTGTTTCGTTTTGTTTTGTGTTTTTCTTTGTTTTATTTTAAGACAGAGTCTCACTCTGTTATCCATGCTGGAGTGCAGTGGTGCAATCAAAGCTCACTGCAGCCTCAAACTCCTGGGCTCATGTGATCTTCCTGCCTCAGCCTCCTGAGTAGCTAGGATTCTAGGTGGGTACCACCACACCAAGCTAATCAACTAATTTTTTAATCTTTTTGTAGAAATGGGGTCTCACTATGTTGCCCTGGCTTGTCTCAACTTCCTGGGCTCAAGTGACCCTCCTGCCTTGGCCTTCCAAAGGGCTGGGTTTTGCACAAGCTAACATGATTGGCCTGGAGAAAGTGTTAATGGTTTGGATAGATCAAATCAGCCACAACATTCCCTTAAAGCAAAGGCTAATTAATCTAGAGCAAGGCTTTTTCTTCAATTTGTGAAATCTGAGAGAGATGAGGAAACTGCTGAAGAGAAGTTTAAAGTTAGCAGTTGGTTCATAAGGTTTAAGGATAGAAGGCATTTCTATAACATAAAAATGCAAGGTGAATGGCAACTGCTGATGGGGAAGCTGCAGTATGTTATCCAGAAGATCTAGCTAAGATCATTGATGAAGGTGCCTGCAGATTTTCAATGTAGACAAAACAGCCTAATACTGGAAAATGATGCCATCTAAGACTTTACTAGCTAGAGAAGAGAAGTCAATGCCTGGCTTCACAGCTTCAAAGGGCAGGCTATCTCTCTTGTTAGGGACTAATGTAGCAGGTGACTTTAAGTAGCCAATGCTCATTTACCATTTCAAAGATCCTAGGGCCTTTAAGAATTATGTTAAATCTGTTCTGCCTATGCTCTGGAAATAAAACAGCAAAGCCTAGATGAGAGCACATCTGTTTACAGCATGGTTTACTGAATATTTTAAGCCCGCTGTTGAGATCTACTGCTCAGAAAAAAAGATTACTTTCAAAATATTATTGTTCATTGACAATGCACCTAGTCACCCAAGAGCTCCGGGAGATATGTACAAGGAGACGAATGTTGTTTTCATGCTTGCTGACACAATATCCATTCTGCAGCCCATGGGTCAAGGAGTAATTTTAACTTTCAAGTCTTACTATTTAAGAAATACATTTTGTAAGGCTATTACTGTCACAGATAGTGATACCTTTGATGGATCTGGGCAAAGTAAATTTAAAACCTTCTGGAAAGGATTTACCATTTTAGATGTCATTAAGAACATTCATGATTCATGAGAGGAGTTCAAAATATCAACACTAATAGGTGTTTAGAAGAAGTTGATTCCAACTTTCATGGATGACTTTGAGGGGTTCAAGACATCAGTGAAGGAAGTAACTGCGGATGTGGTGTAAATAGCAACAGAACTGGAATTAGAAGTGGAGCCTAAAGATGGCACTGAATTGCTGCAATCTCATGATAAAACTTCAATGGATGAGGAGTTGTTTCTCATGAATGAGCGAAGGAAGTGGTTTCTTGGGATGGAATCTACTCCTAATGAAGATGCTGTAAACATTGTTAAAGTGACAATGGAGGATTTAGAACAAGCTTGTCCAACCTTCAGCACATGATCCTCATGCAGCCAAGGATGGTTTTGAATGTGGCCCAACACAAATTCATAAACTTTGTTAAAACATTATGAGGTTCTTTTCCTAAATTTTTTTTAGCTCATCAGCTATTGTTAGTGTTAGTGTACTTTATGTGTGATCCAAGACAATTCCTCTTGTTCCAATGTGGCCCAAGGAAGCCAAAAGATTGGACACCCCTGAATTTTAGAACATTATATGAACTTAGTTGATAAAGCAGTGTCAGGGTTTGAGAGGACTGACTCCAATTCTGAAAGCTGTTCTACTGTGGGAAAGATGCTATCAAAAAGCATTGAAACATCTTTTGTGAAAGGAAGAGTCAATCAATGCAGCAAACTTCATTATTGTCTTATTTTAAGAAATTGCCACAGCCACCTCAAACCCTGATCAGTCAGCAGCCATCAACATCAAGGCAAGACCCTCCACCAGCATGACTCACTGAAGGCTCAGATGACTCATTGAAGGCTCAGGTGATTGTTAGAATTTGTTACCAGTAAAATATTTTTAAATTAAGGTATGTATTTTTTAGCCATAATGCCATTGCATGCTTAATAGACTACAGTGTAGTGTTAACATAACTTTCGTGTCCACTGAGCACTAAAAAATTCATGTGACTCATTTTATTGAGATAATTGCTTTATTGTGGTGGTCTGGAATCAAGCCCACAATATCTCTAAAGTGTGCCAGTAATTTCTCTATTTTTAAAATTTTCTACAGAAAGCATGACTTTTATATCAAAATCTTAAAAATATTCTATTTTTCATGATAAGATTTCGATCAAAACTGAATATACTATTAGACTCTCTTCAGGTTAATATTTCTTCATCAGAATTATTTGACCATTGTATTCCTCTGTTCTCACGCTGCCAATAAAGACATACCCAAGACTGGGTAATTTACAAAAGAAAGAGGTTTAATTGACTCAATTCAGCATGGCTGGGGAGGCCTCAGGAAACTTACAATCATGGCGGAAGGGGAAACAAACACAACCTCTCTCACATGGTGGCACGAGAGAGAAGTGCACAGCAAAGGCAGGAAATCCCCTTATAAAACTATCAGGTCTCATGAGGACTCACTCACTATCAGGAGAACACCATGAGGGTAACCGCCTGCATGATTAAATTACTTCCCACTTGACCCCTCCCACTACACATGGGGATTATGGTGTGACTCTGCTTTAACCACTCATGAGGGCCATTTGTGAGGTCTACTAGAAACTATAATTCAAGATGAGATTTGGGTAGGAACACAACCAAACCGTATCAACCATCATCTTTTAACCAGTTCTGAGGAGTATATCTGCTTACTGAGGGCAGAGTGGGCACAACTACTGTGCTCATAGGTTGGTACATAGATGTTATTTCAGACGATCTTCAAAACAGTCTTATATGTTATGAACTCTTAGTACTCTCATTTTACAGATGAAGAAACTGAGATTTGGCTAGATTAAGTAACTAGCCCATGGTCAACAAGTAAATGATGAGAGAAACTGAGTGAAGGTTTCTTGAGATCCCTCTGTATTATTTCTTACAACTGCTTGTGAACCAACAACCATCTCAAAATAAAAGGTTTAATTTTTTTTTTTTAGAGGAAGCAATTGGCAGAGCAAGGATTCACACATAACCCTGTCTGATTCCAATGCCTGTACATTCTCAGTCACACCAGTGCTAAATTGGCATTGTGTTGCTGCTATCTGGCCTTTTTCTGAACCTTGCCTACTCAGACACTCTGAGTGACTTTGTGGGAACTTTGCTAACTCCTGGCGAGCTGTCCTCCATGGTGTGACTCTGCTTAAACCTCTCGCAAAGGCCATTTGCCAGGTCCACTAGGAGTGGCGGAGGGGCAGCCTGCCGGTTTTGGTGCCAAGGAGGAGCAGAGTAAAGGAGGTAAGAGTCAGTGGGCATTTTGCCTGACTGAGGACTCTGGGATTGGACCCTCAATAGATATGCAAATTGAATTCTGTGTAATTTGTGCTTTTCAATAACCTCAGCATGTGTTGGATGTGTACAAAAAGAGCCGTAAAATAAAATTGCAGACAAAGGGGGGAGTCAGAACATAGAAAGGGGAAGAATCAGTTTATTCCACAAGCCAAACAATGGGTCATAATAAATTCGCCAGCCATTAGCTCTTTGGTTGCATGGAACAAAGAGATTGAAATGAAATGGGAGAAAAAAAGAATCACAGTTAACTGTTAGGTGGCTGGCCTGCTTCCATTTGGCCAACCAGACAGATCACAGGATGGGCCAGGGAGCTGCCCAGGGGCATCTGCTACCTCCATGGGGCAGCTCCCACTGGTTTGCAACCCAGCCATGGCTCTTCCATATGTTTAGGTGTCATCAGGGCAGTTTTTCATTAGGAAAAGCATGCAATAAAAAGATGCAGTTGTGTTTTAATCAGCCATCAGTTAATCCATAGTTACATGTCCCCAAAAGAATGATAAGATATGGTATAAAAGAAGAAATAAAGGGATCTAAAGTGAAAAACAGACAGAGATGTGCAGAAAGAAAATAAAGGAGAAGCAGAGAGAAAGAAGAGAGAGAAATTGACAGAGATAATAATAACCAGAACTACTATTGCCAGTGCTGCCACTCCAACCAACAGTTTCATCATCATTTTTGAGTGTCAGCTGTGGCCTCAAACCCAAAGAGTATGAACAGAGAATGCAGCCCTGGCAGAACAGATACCTGGCATCCCTCCACACACTCCTAGGAGCCCTGTGAAGATGGCTGTGAACCCATCTTCTGGCCTGAGCATGTCTCAATCACTAAACTTCCCACATTCAATCTTAGTTACCTTTTCATCTGTTCATCCTCCTAATGTACTCCAAGGTCGTTGACAGCAGGATGTAGAGTTCACCTGCATATCCTAAATGCCAAGCATTGAGCCTGACCCATTTTAGGCACTCCAACAATATTTACAAAATGAATGAATGAGTTTTGCATGAATGGATGGATGGATCAATGAATGGATGGGTGGATGGCTGAATGAATAAATGAAGAAATGAATAAATGCCAAGCTTGCTAATCTTCACACTAGGTCAGTGAGTTAGCTGTTATTGATCCCATTTACAAATGAAAAAAATAATGCCTAGAGAAAGTCAAGTCTTGACTCTTTATCCTGTAAAATAGCATCACTCAAAGAAGACTCATATCCTGAGAAACAGAGGAGAACAAGGTTGGGAGAAGTTTAGGGAGCAAATGGATGCAGAAGAAGAAGAGAATGAGAGAAAAAAAGGTGCAGTAAAAATTGGGACAGAGCTAAAAAGGGGGTTCTCCTTGGTGCCTTTATAGCAGAGGACAAGGCTTTGGCTTTGTTTGAAAAGCGAGTAATAAAGTCTGGGGTGAGCATAAGCCAGAAATGTATGACATCATATTAGCATAGAATCAGGAGTTTAAGATAGACTCCTAAATCCTATTTGGCTCTGACAGCAGGTGGACTGTTGTTGGGGATTTGCAAACTGGCCAAAATCATCCCTGGTAGTCCTAATGCGAAGTGAAGGTCAACAGAGATTTGATAAATAAACAGAAGTGCTCAGAGATTCTAGTGTCTGCATTAAAAAGAGGAAAGCAGTGCAGCAGCTTTGCTTGGGTGATGCTGAAACAATCGCCCTCTTAAAGACATAAGCCCCATGGACCCTGGTTGCCATAATTTTCAGAGTAATATGATTTTTGACAAATTCATTAAGCAATAGGACATGACAGACTGTAAATTGCTCCCTGTTAATTTATGTCCACTATATTGTTAGGCATCCAGCCAAAGCTTGGTTCTGTCTGAGAGCAAAGATATAAATTGCCGTTGTGTAACCACAGACTGGAATGCTTTGTGAGGATCAGAGAATGATCAAATCACAGAACCCTCAACTCATAGGAGAATTCAATTTCTTACTCAGATAGTAACTTCCATTGAGTGTCCATTGTGGAACAGCCACTGCCCTTGAGGAGAATTAATCAGGATTTCAGGAATGCACATGGGTTGTTCTACAAAGTGATAACCCCTGCACTAAAGGTAAAAAGTCATTTCTTACAGAGCACAGGAAAAAACAGTCATCAGTTTTAGAGAAGTAGTGATGAAGGGAGGGGATCAGGGAAGGCTTCAGAGAGAAGATGGTTTTTGAATTGGGTCCTAAAATAATCGCAGACATTCCTCACATGAAGAAGCATGGAAGTTCACTATAGGAATAACCCACAGAGGCATGGAGGCATGGTGTGTTTAAAGAGCTTGAGCAATTTGGTACAACTGTAGCTCAGGGTAAAAGAAAGAGAATCAGCAGCATGTTTTATGGCAAAAGAGTAAGTTTGCATCAAACTGGGAAGGCTTCAAACCCATGCTAAATGTCTAGGAGTTTATTCAATAGTTCCCTTCTCTGCATCTCCATTCAGGCAATTATTGTCACACTGGGAGACTGAAGGCTCCCAGCAAAAACAATGGTCTGGATGAACCATTATTTATCAAGGGGGATATAAACCCTGAGGCTGGTGTGCTATTCTGATCATTTAGGCAACAATAATGAAAAGAACAATGGTCAATCTATGTTGATCACCATTGTCAGGGTCACTCCTAGAGAGACATTTGGCTCAGGCTGGAGCACTGCAACCTCTGCAGGGCTACTTTTATTGGGGAGGTTAGAAGGCCTATTGCCTCATAATCCAACAAAGGAGAAAGGTCTTCTCCTTTCCCTCTAAGCATGTAAGGAGAGACAAGAGGAAGACTTGGGTTTTGGATAACATAAATGTCCATGCCATCAGCCCTTGTCCCTAATCATTAAGCACAGCCCTTTCCACAAACCCCTGAACTGAATCAGCAGATTCAACTCCATGAACTTGATTCCTCTTTAGGTTTTCACCAGGCATATCTAAGGAAATTAAAAGAAAGGGGAAGAAAGTGTGGCAACTGCTTCCTAACCTGGCATAGCAAAATCAAGAGACTTGATTTGCAAAAGGAACCAGGACACCTGGATTTTATTCTACCCTCTCACTCACCAGCCCCATGGCCTTGAACAAAGACTAAAATGAGATGATGCCTGTGAAAATATCTGGCACGGAGTAGGCCTTCAAAAGATGCTATTGAATCTCAATCTATAGTCAGCTAGTATTGATCTTAAGAAATCAACAAAGTCCATACAGGAAATGCCCAATACATTGGAAAAAGGCTGCAGATCCAAGAATAAGCTCAATGAAATCATCAACATAATCTCCGAGGATTGTAAGAGTTTCTTTGTACTTTGTTCAGTTATTTTCAGCCACTGGAGACCTACTATCAGGTCCCATTTTATGCTGATATTGTTCACGAAGTTGGCATGCTTTACTGGTCTTCTTCAATCTACACACAGGGAGACAAATCCCAAGAGGTTGGGGGAAGTTTTGTTTCATGTGAATCTAGCTATGATATGAAACGCATTGAGTCCTTGGGGATTCCTGACATGATTTAGACGTTCTTTGCCTGCCCACTGCAGGAGGCTTTACAGAAAAGGCATTCTGTCATCTCAGTAACTAATGGGAAGCAGATGAGTGGTAGAAAGAATTCTGGTTTTGATCTCAGGAGGCCTGAATTTGGAAGCTCAGCCCTGTCACCTGGGAGACCTTGGACATATTAGCTTTTCTGAGACTCAGTCTGCTTGTCTAAAATGTAAATAATGGAATCTACTATTTGGGGTTATTTCTTGACCCAAATGATATAACTTATGTGAAAGCACTTTATAAATCTGAAGTGCCAACAATTGTGAGTGTTATAACTCTCATCATGATTATTTATGGTGATGTAGTGTATAGGCTTTGCTGTCAGTTAAATCTTTCAGTCCTCATGTCCCTATTACCCCTTGGCTACTGTCTCTATTACTCAGGAGCACAGCAGGAGACACAATTCATTCCCAGATGGTTCAAATGGGGAGACTTGAATGAAGCCTCTACTTAGAGAGGTGCAAGTGAAAAACCAAAAGACCAGCAACAGCTGGAAGGATTACTACCCCCTATGGCTAAAGGGACAAATGAAGGAAAAGCTTCTACCAGAGCTCTGTGAAGACAAGCAACCTGAAGGAGAACAGGCTACCCGGAGGGATGCAGCTATTACCAGATGTGGGACACTGCTACACAGGAGACATCTCTCTCCTGCCCACCAATCTCCCATTGGTTGAACCCAATCAGAAGGCAACTCACAAGGGATTCCAATGATATAATTCACAAGATCCAATTCTCAAAGACACAAACTTTTAGGGTCCTTTGTTAGAGTAAAACTCCAGAAAAGGAGTTGTACAGCAAAATAAACCTTAGATCACAACCAAATTGGGGGACATCAGGGATTCTCTGGATGGGGGAGCTCCCAGGCCTCAGCAAATTGTCCTATTGGTTTGAGCAATAAAGATTGCTCAAGCTGGTTCCAAGCACCAAGAGGAGATTTGTCAAGGTCAGAGGCACCTCAATTCAGAATCCCTTCATCATTGCCAATTGTAAACAAAAAAACATCTAAGCCAAGTCTCAATCAATTTAGAAGGCTTATTTTGCCAAGGTTAAGGATGTGCCTGTGACACAACCTCAAGAGGTCCTGATGACATGTGCCCAAAGGGATTAGGGTACAGTTTGATTTTATACATTTTAGGGCGACATGAGATGTCAATCAACACATGTAAGATGTGCATTGGTTTGGTCCAGAAAGACGGGACAACTTGAAGTGGGGGCATGCAGGTCATAGGTAGATTTAAAGATTTTCTTTATTATTATTATTATTTCAATACTTTCTGGAGAACAGGTGGTGTTTGGTTACATGGATAAGTTCTTTAATGGTGATTTCTAGATTTAAAGATTTTCTGATTGGAAATTGATTGAAAGAGTCATTATCAAAGAATGTCTGGGTTACAATAATGGATTGTGGAGACCAAGGTTTTATAATGCAGATGAAGCTCCAGGTAACAGACTTCAGAGAGAATAGCCTGTAAATGTTTCTTATCTGACTTAAAGAATCTGTTCTATCAGTAATTCCAAAAGGACTGAGGGTATAATGAGGCATTTCAGGCTCCCCCTTCCCATCGCAGCCTAAACTACTTTTTTAGGTTAACTTTGGAATGCCCTTGGTCGAGAGGAGGGGTCCATTCAGATGGTTGGGGGTCTTAGCATTTTATTTTTGGTTTACACTTTCTTTTTTTTTTTGAGACAGTTTCACTCTGTCGCCCAGGCTGGAGTGCAGTGGTGCGATCTCAGCTCACCGCAAGCTCTGCCTCCCCGGTTTATGCCATTCTCCTGCCTCAGCCTCCTGAGTAGCTGTGACTACAGGTGCCCACCACCACGCCCAGCTAATTTTTGTATTTTAGTAGAGACGGGGTTTCACCATGTTAGCCAGGATGGTCTCAATCTCCTGACCTCGTGATCCATCCTCCTCGGCCTCCCAAAGTACTAGGATTACAGGCATGAGCCACCATGCCTGATGGGTTTACACTTTCTGTATTGTGCTTTTCATTGTGCTCTTCATATCAGCATCACCAGTGGTTACAAGCAGGAGTCTGAGCCATATAGATCTGTGTTCAAATCTGCCACATATGATTTTAGGTAAATTGACTTAATCTCTCAGAACCTGTTTTCTCACCTGAAAAGGGGAGCCTATAAGAGCACCAATTTCATAGGATAATGTAAATATCAAAGCTGTAATACCTTTCAAGCACTTTCCAATGTGCATAATAAGCACTCTGTAAATAAGAATGTTGCTGCTTGACTTCTCACAGACCCACTTTTTACTGCTTACCCCCACCCCACAAACCTCCACACCGGAAATCCTTTTCCATGGAGATCTCACCTTCTCACATCTTTAACCTGTTTGATAATTCCACCTTTTTTTCTAACTGAAAACTTGATCTCTCTGGTAGACTTCTATTTCTTTTTTACTTAACTTCTCAGTAGCATTTATACTATTGCTTATTCCCTCCCTTTAAAAAGGCTTTCTTCCCTTGGCTTCTGTGTGGTTATCTCCTAGGTTTCAGGTTGCTTGGATAGACCATGTTAAAACTGAATTTATTTTATTTCCTGCAAAACATGCTCATTTCCTCTTACTTTAATTAATGACACCCTCATCATTCAATTGCATAACCTTCGATGTCTTACCTCTTTCTCATTCCTTACATTCAATAGGTCATAGGGCTTTGTATGCATTAAATCTCTAAAACATATCTAGAATCCATCTACTTTTCTCTATCCCTAATACCACTGTGTTTATGGAGCCATCTCCATTTCTTGCCAGCTTTATAGCAATAACTTCCTAAATGGTCTCAGTCCCTCTTATCTTGTATTCTTTACCCATTCTTCACATCGTAATCGGAAAGGTGGTTCTAAAGAAAACATTTTCTCCTACCACTACCCTTATTTAAAACTCCCCAGTGACTCTCCATTACCCTTATTAGAAAGCCCAGTCTCATAATTGCTAGCAAGATCCTCTATGACCTAACCCCTGCTAATACTAGATACTCATCTAGGCACACCCCTTTATCTCACTCAACCCCAGTGATAACAAATGACTTGAAAATCCCCCAACACTTTAACTTTCTCTCTTCTCTGAGTGGTGTATATGCTAGCCAAGATCCTCCACCCACAAACTTAGCTAATTCTCACTTTGCCCTTTGCACCTCATTTTAAATGCCATTTCCTCCAGTAACTTTTCCTGACCCTGAAAGCCCTCCTAGGTATACCAACATAGCCTTAAAGTGTTAATTCAATGAAGGCAGAAATCATACTGATCTTTGATTATATCTTTAAACATTGGTGCCTAGCACTGGGTACTTTTGAATGAGGGAAGATTCAGCAGTGCAAGATCATCCCTGTCTGATCTCCAATTTCCCAAAAGCTCACAGTAGTAACTCTAGAATTGTCTCCTAACTAGAGTTAAAATTTAGGGGGATCAAGCATGGTCTTGATCTTGAGCCAGTTATGCTTAAGATACAACTCACCATTTTTGATACATCAATTCACAAAGAACCTCTGGAACCCTGTTCATGTTCACATAGCAGTAGAGGGTCAATCAATGTGAAATGAAATGGCACATACTTTCAAAGAGGCCTATGTAAGTGCAAAGTTGATTGTGATCTGCTTCTTGCATTTGTTTTTTCTGAGTGTTCTACAGCAGTTTCTCATCTTAGGAAAGTCCTTCAGGCTAGTTCACTGATGGATCTACTTAAGTGCATAAGTTTTGCCACTAGACCAAATCATAAATGTCAATCTTTCTCTCTGGTAACACAACTCTTCAGCCACAAAGCACAGTACTGAATGTTTTGGCACACATACTACAAAAAAGTCATTCATTGTCCTTTGCTTTCTTTAGTTTTCACTGTTAACTCCTAGCTAAGCTTCCTTATGTCATGAGAAGTAATTCTACTAAATAAAACCTGGTTATACATTAAGAAGACATCTTTTTAACAAGGAAAAATCTTCAGTTTCAGAGTTAAGCTTTAACAAGTTTTATAAACAAGAGACTTCAATGAACACATGCTGGGTAACAGATTTCTATAAATCTGTAAACTAACAGAGAAAAGATAGTTTATCTCTAAGGCACCACATAGCAGCACACAGAGAGATGAAGCCCTAATATAATCTAAAGAAAATGTGGCTATACACTAATTATTATCAATGATAAGTCATCAAAAGAATCCCTACTTTCTATTTCCAAATCCCAGGCTGTTTCCAATACATTGCACTGTCTTCCTTCAGATAATGAAAAAGAAATAATTGTGATTCCTATACTCACTAAGTTAACAACTGAACATGCTTGCAATTGTCAGATTATGTCAGATACTATGTATAATGAATTTTGCAATACTAGGAATAGATACTGAAAGAATCAAGAAGAAATGGAGTTCAGAAAGCTTCCTGAAAAATTTTAAGAAAGTAAAATGGAGGGAAAAAGAAGAGGAAACCAAACATTAAAAATGCTTTATTAAGGCACTAGAGCCATGAGTATGTATACGTATTCATGGGAAAGGTCAGAAATATGTGTGGTGAAAAGCAGTAGGAAATAAAGTTAGACATGTAGAGATGGTCCGCATTTTGAAAAGGAAAAGATAACATTAAAAATCCACGTCCAACTCAATGTTCTGCTTTAAGAGAAAACTGTCTTTAATTCAACTTAACTATCATCAAAATATGCTGCGTGGCTGCACACAAACCTTTGATGATTTTCAAAGCTTGGAATTAACTAAAATGACTTTATTTAGCATTTATTACCCACTTCTACAGGCACGCCTAGTAGTAAGCACTTTGAATACATTTTCACAGAGGATCTACACAAGAACCCTATGTGGTAGGTACAAATGTGCTTCCCTTTCCACAATGAAGAAACTCGGGCCAGAAACATTAAGACATATTTCCAAGTCAGAGTAGTTAAGCCAGGATTCAATGCAGGTCTTTCTCTATTCTAGAATCCACAACTTCAGCTTTCATAGAATTTACCCTCTCGTAACACTTTAAGGATGATACAGGATTGTGTTTCTTAAACTTAACACTTGGCCCTTCTCCCCTCTAGCATCCTAAGGAAGCTGTTCACATAAAGAAAAATTAGAGAAAAGAAACCAAGGAAGTGATTGTCCAATTCAGAGTTTCTTTAATATGCTGGGATGACACATATGCCTGAGGCTGATAGATGTAAGATGGGCTTCCCACTTCTTCTGACTCTATCTAAGATGGTCAAATTGCAAAGCAGAATCAACGTGACATGTCCATCAAGATACTGAGAGAAAAGACCACGAGCCCACCTGTTTAGATCAGGTGCTGCGAGGACATGATGGAACAGCAAGAAGAGCTGAGTCCTTTGCCTTGAAGGAACTGTAATCCTGCCCACCAGAATTGTGGACACATCTGAGCAGAAAATCTTTCTCCCTTATCAACATAGAGGAATCCTGGAAGTGGGGGAAGGCAGTCTGAGGCACAACTTCACCTGAAGGCAAGATCAGAAACACGGGAGAAGAGGCAAGGAACCCCTGACTTCACCTCCCCCACCACACACACACAAACAATAAGTGTAAAACCGTACATTCAAATAGCTTCTGCAGTTCCCTAAGCATTGTAATATTTATTATTTCACTTGAACTTCACAACAGCCCTTGAGGACAAAACCAAGACACAAAGAGGTTAAGTGACTTTCCCAAAATCAGATATCTAGTAAATTACCCAGCCAGCCTCCCTAATAACCTCATCTTTCTGAAGTCACTAGGACAAATCTTATCTCACCACTGAGTGTAGGGAGTGAAAAGGTCAGGCAGAGAGGAGTGTCATGATTACAGTTCGGTTAGACCACTTAGACACATCCTTCCATTCCAGCATTTCCCCTAAGTCCTATTTCAAAATCTTAGATTATTTTTAAAAAGAAGAAGAAAGGATACATCATACAGGTCACATCTCTGAGTCCTATCTAAAATATAACTTAAAAAAATGAATTTATAAGTATTTCAATGGTTTTAGTCATTGAAATCAACTCTTAAGAATAAATAATTATTCATGTGAAAAAACTATTTATTCATAGTTTCCAAGAATGTCTCTCTCAGAACAACTTTGTACAGTTTATGTAAATGGTACCCCTGTAATAACCTGCATAACCTCTATAGTCACATTTATCTCCCTAGTCATACCATAGTACCTCAATCCCTGCACAATCTTTGAGTCAGTGAACCACAGAGTAATATATTATCCATTAATTTATTTTAAAACAAATATTGAACACATACTATGTGCAAGCCCAATGCTAGGTTCTGGGAATGCAACAACAAACAAGACACATTTTCTGCCATCAAAACTTCATAGTTTGCCTATGCTTTTGGTGTCAAGCCAAAAAAAAAATCATTGCCAAGACCAATGTTAATAAGCTTATTCTCTGTATTTTCTTTTGGGAGTTTCATAATTTCAGGTCTTACGTGTAAGTCTTTAATCCGTTTTGAGTTGATTTTTGTGTATAATGTAAGATAAGGGCCCAATTTTTTTTTTTTGCATGTGGATATTCAGTTTTCTGATTACCATTTATGGAAGAGACCATCCTTTTCCCATTATTTATTCTTGGTGCCCTTGTCAAAGATTAATTAATGGTATATGCATAGGCTTATTTCTGTTCCATTGGCCTATGTGTCTGTTTTTAGCAAGTATTCTACTGTTTTGATTAACATACCTTGATAATATAGTTGGAAATCAGGAAATGTGATGCCTCTAGCTTTGTTTTTCTTTCTCAAGTTGGCTTTGGCTATTCAGAGTGTTTTGTGATTCCACATAAATTTTAGCATTGCTTTCTCTATTTCTGTACTAAATAAGTAGGACTACGCCAAACTAAAAAGGTTCTGCACGGCAAGTGAAACAGTCAAAAAAATTAAAAGGCAGGGAGTGGGGAGAGCAACATGGCTTAATAGAATCCTCCAGTGATCGCCCCTCTCCCACAGGAGCACCAAATTGAATAACTATCCACGCAAGAAAGCACCTTCATAAGAACCAAAGATCAAATGAGCAATCACAGTACCTAGTTTTAACATCATATTAGGGAAAGAGGCACTGAAGAGGGTAAGAAAGACATTCTTGCATTGCAATCACCACCTTCGCCAGCCCCCCAGCAGTGTTTGGAGAGAGAATCTGTATGCATGGGGGAGGGAAAGTGAAGTGACTGTGGGACTTTGCGTAGGAATTCAATGCTGCCCTGTCACAGCGGAACACAACACAGGGCAGTACTTGACCAGTGCCCTTGGAGGGAACAGCCAGACTAGCCCTAGCCAGAGGGAAATCCTCCATTGCAGCAGTAGGAATCTCAGTTCCAGCTAGCTCCACTACTTTGTTCAAGACCCCAGGGCTCCTCCGACTAAAGTGCCCTGGGGTCCTGAATGAATTTGAACGGCAAAACGGCCTTGGACAAGTCCTGGTGCTATGCTGGGCTTGGAGCCAGTGGACTTGGGGTGCACGTGAGACACCAGCTGTGGTGGCCAAGGGAGTGCTTGTATCACCCCTCCCCCAACTCCAAGCAGTGCTTCTCGGGGAGAGACTCTTTCCACTTGGGGAAAGGGAAGGGAAGAGTACAGAGGACTTGGTCATGAAAGTTGAGTACCAGCTCAGCCACAGTAAATAAAATGTCAAGCAGATTCATGAAGCCTCTGCATCCAGGCCCTAGCTCCTGGATGGCATTTGTATACTCATCCTGGGTCAGAAGGGAACCCACTGTCCTGAAGGGAAGGACCCAGTCTTGGTCCTGATTCCTGATACCCCATCTGCTGACTAAAGATCTCTTCATCCTTGAATAATCATTCATGGTAGCCAGGCAGTAGCCACCACAAGCCTTGGGCAAGGCCCAATAATGTGCTGGCTTCAGATGTGAACCAGTCCAGTCCCAGCTGTGGTGGCCACAAGAGTGCTTTCACCACTCCTCCCCCATTTCCAAGCAGTCTTCTGCAAAGAGAGACTCCTTCTGCTTGGGGGAAAGTGAGGGAAAAAAATGAGACACTCTGCCTGGTAATCCAGGGAATTCTCCCAGATCTTACCCAAGCCAACCACAGCAGTACTTCTGCAAGTCTGTGAGAGTTGTGGCTTTGCTAGGATTGTGGCACTTCTGTGTGTAGACATGACTGTAGTGACCAAGGAGTTATAATAGATTATAACACTGAATTCCCTTTGAATACCTGAAACGCCTTCTCAAGAAGGATGGGTACAAACAAGCACAGAATGTGAAGATTAGAATGAATGCCTAACTCTTCAATGTCCAGACATTGAAGAACATCCACAAGCACCAAGAACATCCAGGAAAACATGATCTCATCAAACAAACTAAATAAGGAACCAGTGACCAATCCCAAGTGACAAAAATATATGAACTTTCAGACAGAGAATTTAAAACAGCTGTTTTGAGGTAGCTCAATGAACTTCGAGATAATGTAGAAAAAGAGTTCAGAAACCTATCAGAGAAATTTAACAAAGAGATTAAAATTGTTTTAAATCAAAAAGAAATTCTGGAACTGAAAACAACTGACAAACTGAAAAACTGCATCAGAGTCTCTCAACAGCAGAATTGATCAAGTGGAAGAAATAATTAGTGAGCTTGAAGACAGTCTCTGTGAAAACACACAGTCAAAGAAGAAAAAAGAATAAAAAAGGATGAAGCACACCTTTGTGCTTGCATCGTAAGCACAAAGCACCTACCTACGAGATCTAGAAAACAGCTTCAAAAGGGCAGATCTAAGAGTTATTGGCCTTAAAGAAGAGGTAGAGCAAGAGATCAGGGTAGAAAGTTTATTCAAGGAAGTAATAACAGAGAACTTTCCAAACCTAGAGAAAGATAATCAACATTCAGCTATAAGAAGGTCAGTCATAGAACATCAAGTAGATTTAAGCGAAATAAGACTGCCTCAAGGTACTTAACTGAACTCCCAAAGATCAAAGATAAAGAAAGGATTCTAAAAGCATTCTAAAAGAGGAAAGAAACATGTAATATATAAAGAAGCTCCAACACATCTGGCAGCAGACTTCTCAGTGGCAACTTTACAGGCTAGGAGAGAGTTGCATGACATATTCAAATTGCTGAATGAAAAACTTTTATCCTAGAATATTATGTCCACAAAAAATATTCTTCAAACATGAAGGAGAAAGAAAGACTTTCCCAGACAAACAAAAGCTAAGGGATTTCATCAACTCTAGAACTGTCTTTCAGGAAATGTTAAAGGAAGTTCTTCAGTCTGAAAGAAAAGGACATTAATGGGCAATAAAAAATCATCTGAAGGTGGCCGGGCGCAGTGGCTCACGCCTGTAATCCCAGCACTTTGGGAGGCCGAGGCGGGTGGATCACAAGGTCAGGAGATTGAGACCATTCTAGCTAACATGGTGAAACCTGGTCTCTACTAAAAATACAAAAAAAAAAAAATTAGCCGGGCGTGGTGGTGGCACCTGTAGTCCCAGCAGTTCCAGCTACTCGGGAGGCTGAGGCAGGAGAACGGCGTGAATCCGGGAGGTGGAGCTTGCAGTGAGCAGAGATCGCGCCACTGCACTCCAGCCTGGGCGAGGCAGAGTGAGACTCCGTCTCAAAAAAAATAAATCATCTTAAGTTAAAAAACTCACTGGTAACAGGAAGTACACAGACAAATTCAGAATATGCTAACACTGTAATTGTGGTATGCTAACCACTCATATCCTGATTAAGAAGACTAAAAGACAACCCTATCAAAAACAATAACTACAACTTTTAAGAGATAGATAGTATAAAAAGATACAAATAGAAACAACAAAAATTTAAAGTGAGGGGATGGGGTCAAAGTGTAGAAGTTTTTAAATAGTTTCCTCTTTCCTTGTTTTTATGATCAGAGTTAAGTTTTCCTCAGTTTAAAATAATTTGTTATAACATATTATTTGCAAGTCTCATGGTAATCTCAAAGCAAAAAGCCTACAGCAGATAAACAAAAAATAAAAAGCAAGAAATTAAAACATACTAACAGAGAAAGACACTTTTACCCAAAGAAAGATGAAAGGAAAGAGAAAGGAAGGAAGAAAGGAAAGAAGGAAGGGAAGGGAAGGAAAGGGAAGGGGAGGGGAGGGGAGGGGAGGACAATCAGAAAAAAAAACAAAATGGTAGTAACAAATTCTTGCCTATCAATAATAAAATTGAATGTAAATGGGCTAAACTCTTTAATCAAAAGACAAAGAGTGGCTAAATGGATTAAAAAAATAAGACCCAACTATATGCTACCTACAAGAAATTCATTTTACCTATAAAAACATACACAGACTGAAAATAAAGTAATGGGAAAAGATATTCCATGTGAATGGAAACCAAAAAAGAGCAGAAGTAACTACACTTATATCAAATAAAATGGACTTCAAGACAAAAAGTATGAAAAGAGACAGAAAACATTATTACATAATAATAAAAGGGTCAATTCAGAAAGAGGATATAACAATTGTTAGTATATGTGTACCCAACACTGGAGCACCCAGATATATAAAGCAAATATTATGAGAGTTAAGGAAAGAGATAGGCCCCAATACAATAATAGTTGGGGACCTCAATATCCTCCTTTCAGCATTGGACAAATATCATCCAAATAGAAAATCAACAAAGAAACATCAGACTTAATCTGTGCTATAGACCCAATGGACGTAATAGATATTTTCAGAATATCCAACATCTGCAGAACACATATTCTTCTGCTCAGCACATTGATCACTTTCAAGCACAGACCATATGTTAGGCCACAAAACAAGTCTTAAATTAAAAAAAATAAAAGAAATAATATCAAGTGTCTTCTGTGACTACAATGGAACAAAACTGGAAATCAATAACAAGAGGAATTTTGGAAACTATACAAACACATGGAAATTAAACAACATGCTCCTGAATGACCAGTGGGCCAATGAAGAAATTAAGAAGGAAACAGAAAATGTATTAAAACAAATGATAATGGAAACACAACATACCAAAACCAACAGGATATAATGAAAGCAGCACTAAGAGGGAAATTTATAGCTATAAGTGCCTATGCCAAAAAAGAAGAAAAGCTTCAAATAAATAACCTAAGGATACATCTTAGAGAACTAGAAAAGCAAGAGCAAACCAAACCCAAAATTCGTAGAAGAAAAGACATAATAAAATCAGAGAGAGATAAATGTGATTAACCTCCCCAAAAATACAAAAGATCAATGAAATGAAAAGTTGTTTTTTAAAAAAGATAAACAAAATTGACAAACCTTTAGCCAGACTAAGAGAAAAAGAGAAGATTTAAATAAATAAAATCAGGGGTGAAAAAGGAGACAACTGATATCACAGAAATTCAGAGGATCATTAGAGACTACTATGAACAACTATATGCCAATAAATTGGAAAGCCTAGAAGAAACACATAAATTCCTAGACACATATCACCTACCAAGATTTAACCATGAAGAAATCCAAAACATAAATGCCCAGTAACAGGTAACAAGATAGACGCTATAATAAAAAATCTCCCATCAAAGCTCAGGACCCAATGACTTCACTACTGAAATCTACCAAACATTTAAAGAACTAATCCAATTCTATTCAAACTATATCAAAAAATTGAGGAGGAGAGAATACTCCCAAATTCATTTGAAGAGGCAAGTATTACCCTGATAGCAAAATCAGACAGACACAACAACAACCAAAAAACTCCAAGCCAATATCTCTGATTAACTTAGATGCAAAAATCCTTAAGAAAGTACTAGCAAACTCAATTCAAAAACACATTGAAATGATTATTCAGCATGATGAAGTGAAATTATTTCAGGGTGTAAGGATGGTTTAACATATGCAAATTAACCAATGTGATACCTTGATATTTCATAGGAACAGAATGAAGAGCAAAAATCATATGATCATTTTAGTTGATGATGAAAAAGCATTCAACAAAATTCAACATTCCTCTATGAGGAATAAAACAAAAACTGGATATAGAAGGAACATACCTCAACATGAAAACAACTGTATACAACAGACTCACAGCTAGTATCCTACTGAATGGGGAAAAACTGAAAGCCTTTCCTCTAAGACCCGAAACAAGACAAGGATGCCCATTTTGACCACTGTTATTCAACATAGTACTGGAAGTCCTAGCTAGAGCTATTAGACAAGAAAAATTTAAAAAGGGCATACAAATTGGAATGGAAGAAGTCAAATTATCCTTGTTTGCAGACAATATAATCTTATATTTATAGAAACCTAAAGATTATATCAAAAATCTATTAGAACTGGTAAATAAATTCATTAAAGTTGCAGGATACAAAATCAGCATACAAAAATCAGTAGCATTACTATATGCCAGCAGCAAACAATTTGAAAAAGAAATCATGAAATAATCCCATTTACAATAGCTAAATAGCTACAAATAAAATAAAATATCTAGGAACTAACTTGACCAAAGAAGTGAAAGATATTGATAATGAAAACTATAAAACATTGATGCAAGAAATTTAAGAGGACACAAAAACATGAAAAGATATTCCATTTACATGGATTAGAAGAATCAATATTGTTAAAATGTTCATACTATTCAAAGCAATCTATGGGTTAGATGCAATTCCTGTCAAAATACCAATGACATTCCTCACAGAAATAGAAAAAAAAAATCCTAAGATTTATGTGGAACCACAAAAGACCTAGAACAGCCAAAGCTAACCTTAGCAAAAAGAACAAAACTGGAGGAATTACATTACCTGACTTCAAATTATATTACAAAGCCATGGCAACCAAAATAGTATGGTACTGGCATAAAAGCAGACACATAGATCAATGGAACAGAATAGAGAACCCAGAACTAAATCCACACATCTACAATGAACTCATTTTCAACAAAGGTACCAAGAAACTATAATACATTGGGAAAAGTAGTCTCTTCAATAAATGGTGCTGAGAAAGCTGGATATCCATACGCAGAAGAATGAAACTTGACCCCTATCTCTCGCACATACAAAAATAAAATCAAAATGGATTAAAGACTTAAATCGAAAACTACTGAAATAAAATATCAGGGAAACTCTCTAGGACTTGGAGTGGGCAAAATCATCTTGAGTAATACCCCACAGGCACAGGCAACCAAAAAAAATGGACAAATGGGGTCACATCAAGTTAAAAAGCTTCTGCACAGCAAAGGAAACAACCAACAAAATGAAGAGAAAACCCATGGTATGTGAGAAAATATTTGCAAACTACTCATCTGACAAGGGATTAATAACCAGAATATACAAGGAGCTCAAATAACTCAATAGGAAAAAAATCAAATAATCTGATTTTAAAATAGGCAAAAAATCTGAATAGACATTTTACAAAAGAAGAGTTTCAAATGGTTAACAGGTATACGAAAAAGGCTCAACATCATTAATAACCAGAAAAATGCAAATCAAAACCACAATGAAATATCATCTCACCCCAGTTAAAATGGCTTTTACCCAAAAGTCAGGCAATAATGAATGCTGGAGAGCATATGAGGGCAACCCTTGTACACGGTTGGTGGGAATGCAAATTAGGGCAACCACTATGAAGAACAGTATGGAGGTTCCTCAAAAACTAACGATAGAACTACCACATGATCCAGCAATCCCACTGCTAGGTATCTATCCAAAAGAATGGAAATCATTGTGTTGAAAAATTATCTGCACTTTCTTCTTTATTGCTGCATTACTCACAATAGCCAAGACTTGGAATTAATGTAAGTGTCCAGCAACAGATAAATGGATTAAAACAATGTGGTACATATACACAATGGAATATTATTTAGCAATAAAAAGAATGAAATCCTGTCATTTGCAACAACATGGATGGAACTGGAAGATATTAAGTGAAATAAGCCAGGCAGAGAAAGACAAATTTCGCATGTCCTCACTTATATATGGAAGCTAAAAAATAAAATAATTGGATTCATGGTGATAGAGAATATAATGATGGTTACCAGAGGCAGAGAACGGTACCAGGGAAGGGTAGAAAAGTGGGGATAGTCAATGGGTACAAAAATATAGTTAGATGGTATGAATAAGTTAATATTTGATAACACAAAGGGTAACTACAGTCAATAATAATTTCTTGTCTATTTCAAAATAACTAGAAGCATGGAATTGTAATGTTTCTAACACAAAGAAATGAATGATACATGCTTGAGGTGATGGATACCCCAATTACCCTGATGTGATTATTATAAATTGCATGCCTATATCAAAACACATGTACACCATAAATATATATACCTATTAAGTACCCATAGTAACTAAAAATAGTTTTAAAAAAAATGAAGGGGCAACCTACAGAATGGGAGAAAACATTTGCAAACCATATATCTGATAAAAGGTTAATACCCAAAATATATAAGGAACTCATACAAATCATAACAAAAACACAAATCACCCAATTTCAAAATAGGGAAAGGACTTCAAGAGACATTTTTCCAAAGAAGAAATACATATAACGCATATTGACCAATAGATGATGGCCAATATATATCAATGCAAATGGCCAATAGATATAAGAAAAGGTACTCAACATCGCTAATCATCAGGGAAATGCAAATCAAAGCCATGTTGAGATATTACCTCACATCTGTTAGGATGTCTCTTATCAATAAGAGTTGTCAAGGGTGTGAAGAAAAGGGAACATTTGTACACTGTGGATAAAAATGTAAATTAGTACAGCCATTATGAAAAACAATATGGAGGTTCCTCAATAAATTAAAAATCAAATTACCGTATGATCCAGTATTTCCACTTCTGGATATTTATCCAAATGAATCAAAATCAGTACCTTGAAGAAAGATCTGCACTCCCATGTTCATTGCAGCATTATTTACAATAGTCAAAGTATAGAAACAACCTTAGTATCTTATGCATTAATTCATTCAATCCTCACGTCAGCCATATGAAGTACTATAAGTTCTATTATTAAACCCATTTTACAGATGAGAATACAGGGGCACAGGGCAGATAAGCAACTTAACAGACCCAGAGCACCTTTATGGTGGTCCTTGGCTCTGAAATAAGAATTGAGATTCTAGAGCCCACAGAATGTAATCACTTCCTCTCCGGGAGCAAACACCAGGCACTATGCGAACAAAATAGGAGGGAATAGGATCCATCCCGAGTGTCAGAGAATTGCACACATTTCCTGTCTGGGTTACATATTTCAGTCTCCGTTCATGCTAATACAAAAGTAAATACTCAGATCTGACCTTCAGTGCCTCCCCAAAAAACATCAAAGTTTGAAGCTGTGCATCAAAGCAATACAGTCCATTTTGTGTCAGCCTGCAATATTATTAGCCAGTCAGGTTTAGGGAAGCTGACAAAAAAGAAGATGTCAGGAATACTATATGTAATATAAATATAATGAAGTGCAGTTGTCAAACTTTCTTAACTAAGAAAGCATATACTTTCTTAGTTAAAAAGAAGAGCATTTCATTGGGGAAATTTCTCACAAAGCCAAGGTTTCAGCTGAAGGAAAGAGGCAAGAGTAAACACCAGAAGCCCAAGCAAAGGTGCACAGAGGCGGAGGATGAATGTTTAGTCTGTGTCTGGTTGTCTGCAAAGAACACGTGCAATCTGAAGAGATTCTAGGGGAAATTGCCAACATAAACAAGCTCTCAATGGAGGTATACATGTTATAAATTTAGAAAGCATCGGCCAGCACTCTCTTGAGTGTGGCTGCCCTTTGGTTTGCCCAAGCAGGGTACTCAAAATCCCCAGAAAGAACACACTCTCTAGTAAGCACAATAGGAGCCTGGTGCTACCCCAGGTGCTTTAAGCCTCGCAGTAACATTAGGAGGGAAAGACTTTTATCTCTTTCTACAATTGAGCAAATGAGTCTCAGAAATATGCCCAGAGTCAGGCTTGTAAGCATGTAGTCAGAATTTGAATCCACACCTGACTGCCACTGAAGTCCTTTCCACTCTCACTTGCTAACCCTCTGAGTATTTTTAGGACTCTCATCAGACATCACATAACCTTTAGGTTGGCATTCACAAGCTCCATGAGGGCAGGGACTACACCAGTCTTGTTAATCATTTAATACCAGCTACCATTGACAGGACTTATATTGGATGCTCAATTATTTTTTTGAACTTTTAATATACTTTATTTTCTAGAATCATTTTAGGTTCATCCAACAAAATTGAGTGGAAAGTGCAGAGAGTTCTTATGTATCCCCTTCCCCAACAAGTGCATAGCCTCTCCCACTATCAATATACCATATCAGAAAGGCACATTTGTTCCAATCAATGAACTTACACTAACACATCATCATCCAAAGACCATAGCTTACATTAGGGTTCACTCTTGGTGTTGTACATTCTATGGGTTTGGACAAATGTATAATGACATGTCACCACCTTTATAGTATCAGAGTATTTTCACTGCCCTTAAAATCCTCTCTGCTCTGCAGATTCATCCCTCCCTCCCCACAACCCCTAGCAACCACTGATCCTTTTACTGTCTTCATAGTTTTGGCTTTTCCAGACTGCCATATATTTGGAATCATACAGTAAGTAGTTTTTTCAGACTGGGCTACTTTCATTTAGTAGTATGCATTTAAGGTTCCTTCATGTCTTTTCATGGCTTGATAGCTCATTTCCTTTTAGTGCTGAATAATATCCCATTGTCAAGATGTACCACAGTTTATTTATTCATTCACCCACTGAAGGACAACTTTGTTCCTTCCAAGTCTTGGCAATATGAATAAAACTGCCATAAACATCCACATGCAGGTTTTTGTGTGGACATAAGTTTTCATCTCCTTTGGATAAATACCAAGGAATACAATTGCTGGAACATATGATGAGAGTCTGTTTAGTTTTTTAAGAAATTGCCAAGCTGTCTTCCAAAGTGGCTCTATCATTTTGCATTGAATAAGAGTTCCTGTTGCTCCACATCCTTGATAGCATTCGGTTTGTCAGTGTTTTGGATTTTCATCATTCTAAATGGGGTGTAATCGACAAATATTTATTCAATAAATTAATTTTTAATCATAAATTAAAATGAAATAAAAATTGAAATCATTAAGAATGTACAATTATAAAATCTATTATTTGCATTGTCACTTCTTAAAGACTGGAGGTAAATGGAGACCTTCCATATTCAAGCTCTAACCTATCACTTTCATGTCACCATTCACCATGCCACTGGGCAAACTGTTCAGTCTGCTCCAAGCAGTAAATCTGCTGAGTGGAGACGGGGGGGTTGGCGGGGAGGGAGAAGAGAGGAGGCGGATGATAAGAATGTACTTTGGGATCTTAGTTTAAAATCCCTCTTGTTGCTACATTTTATTCTTCTCTAGCCACTGTATTCTGCTGCCTACATTTGAGCTCCAAATATAGTCACATCTCTTTTATTATTATAATTAATTGCTATGAAGTCTGCTACCATTATTACAAGGAAAAACAGTAGTTCCATATTAACACATTTCTACTTAAAAGCCAATATTAAAATATGTTAAATCTATAGTAATTTAAACTGGTACACATATAAATAGAACAATGCCAAATTATGAAATAAACCCAAAAGCATGAGGAATTTACTATGATAAGTGGCATTTCAGTTGGGAAAAAAATGGATTCATGGATAAACAGAGTTAGTGTTGATAGATTCAATTTGGGAAAAAAATAGGGATCACTACTTCATACCTTACACCAAAATGAATTATAGAATTATCGAAACTATTAATAATTTAAAAGGAAACTATAAAAAGGCTAGAAGAAAACAATGTGATTTATTTAAACAATCTATGAGTAGGGAAGGGCTTTCAAAGAATAACACAAAATCCTAAAACTTTAAATAAGTTGATGCGTGACCACATAAAAATAAAACATTTAAAAAATAAAACATTTTAGCCATTCATAAATGGCCTAAAAATAGTCCAAAGACAAAATATTTGAAAGATATGTTTGTAATTCATATCACATCAGAGGGATAATTTTCCTAATACATAAATTGTGCTTAGAAACCAGTGAGAGAAAATATCACTAACCAATTTGAAAAAAGTTAAGTTATATGTACATAGTCTACAGAAAAATACAAATGGGTCTTTAAAATAAGAAATGATGTTAGGTCTCACTCATAATGAGAAAATATACTGAGATGCCACTTTGCTTTTAAAAACTGGCAATGGGGCCGGGCGCGGTAGCTCATCACGCCTGTAATCCCAGTACTTTGGGAGGCCGAGGCGGGCGGATCACGAGGTCAGGAGATCGAGACCATCCTGGCTAACACAGTGAAACCCCGTCTCTACTAAAAATACAAAAATCTAGCCAGGCACGGTGGCGGGCCCCTGTAGTCCCAGCTACTCGGAGCTTGCAGTGAGCAGAGATGGCGCGCCACTGCACTCCAGCCTGAGCGACAGAACCAGACTCCATCTCAAAAAAAAAAAAAAATCAAAAACAAAAACAAAAAACTGGCAATGATCCAAAGTTTGAAAACATACTCAGATGGCAAAGGTGTGGGAAAAAGGCATTCTTGTATATTGTTGATAGTACTTTGCTACAAGTGCTAAATGAAACACCTATCAAAATTATACAGGTACATAGCCTATGACCTACCAATTCCACTTTCTTGTATTCCGTCAACAGATATACTTGCACGTGTGCTTGTGCATGATTTCTCGCAAGTCCCATCTACATCAGGAGGGAGTGGTTAAATAAAGCATGGTGTATTCTTTGTCATAAAAGAGGAGGACAAAGTTCTGTATGTCCTTTATCCTTATGAGGTACAATCATCAAGATATAATTTTCTATTAAAAAGTACATAGCTTTGATTGAAACAGAAACACAATAGCACATAATATAGGACTCCTCTTACATGGCATTCAAGACCAGGAGAAACTAAAAGATAGTGATAAAAGTGAGAATAGCAATTATCTCTGGAGAGAATAGGAAGAGGCACAAGGGAGACATGGGGGTGCAGGAAATATATATCTTAATCCAGGTGGTGATCACATGGGTATATACTTGAGTAAAACGTCATCACACCATACACAAATTCTGCACTTTACACGGCCTTTTATTTATAAAACAAATCCACAAGCAAGACACTGTACTATACATATAATATTCTATACTTTGTGCAAAAAAGAGAAAAAATATATGTCTGTATATGTATTTGCTTATACGTGCATAGAATACCTCTAGAAGGCTACACAAGAAACTGATCACATCACAGGAGGGATTCTGGGTGACTAGGAGCAGGGGTGAGTGGGAGACTCCTTACCAGATATCTTTTGCTACTTTTGCATTTTAGACCGTGTGAATATATTACCTTATTGCAAAACATGCAATGAATAAAAAAACACACCACCTAGAATTGTCCGAGACCTCTGGGGCTTACTCAGTCCTGACTACAAATGCCAGCCCCAGAGGAAATTAGAGGGTCTAAAGTCAGCTCTCTGCTAATGTTGCCTCTCATGCCACTATTGAAGGCTGGGCCTGTAAGATCTGACAGATACTGGTCCACCACCAGCCCAATAAATTACATATATAAAATATGTCAGATCGTTATAGGCACAAGAAAAAAATAAAATAAAATACAGAGGTAAAGTATTAAGCAGGGGAATGAGTGGGAGAATAAGGGAGTCCCGGCTATTCTAGGTGGGCGGTTTATGGAAGGCCTTGCTGATGAGGTATCATCTGACATCTAAATGTAGCAAGGAGACAAGCATTGTAAATATCTGGAGATAGAGCAGTTGAGGCAGAGAAGACAGCAGATGTAAAAGCCCTGAGGTCAGAGTATGCCTGCCATGGCTGAGAAACAGCTAGGATGCCAGTGTGGGTGAAGTAGAGAGAACCAAGTAGAGAACAGGAGAGATAAGGAGTGAGAGGTAAGCAGAGGCTAAGATCACAAAGGGCCTTGGAAGCCACATAAAGACTTAGATATTTACTCTGGGCAAGATGGGAAACCAGTGGAATATTTCAGCAGGGAGAATCAAGAGATTTTTTTTGGACCTAGTTAATGGAGATACTAGGTGGGATATACAAGTCTGGGCGTTAGGAAAGAGATACCGGCTGGAGATATAAACCTAGAAGTCATCAGATTTCTCTTCCCTCCAAATGAATTACTCTTTGGGGTCATTGGGTTTTTGGGGGGCCCTTTCTTGCCAGCACATCTTGCTCCAATCCAATCCACTCAGCGAGGTTCCCTAACTTCACATCATAGGAAGTAGATGTTTGGATATCTATTTCTCTATCTCAGAAGGCAAACTCCTCTATCACCACCACTCCATGTATCAAAGACTAAGGAGCACAGCCTTTGAAAAATCACACACATGCGCCCAATGTACACAAATCCAGCTACACTCTTCTTCTAGAATCATAGATGCATATTTACTTGGTTTTTTTATTTCCTTAACCAGGAGGGCCCACTTAACTAAATCTCCTCTGAACTAAAAAGGGCTCCTTTGTCCACTGAAACATAGCTTTACAGACAGGTTAATGTCACTTAAAGTTTTTATTTATGCCTTACTAAGGCTTTCATGACATTTCTATAAGTTTTCACCAACTTTTGTAAGTCTTTTGAACATTTTTCCATCATTGTCTATTTCTCCTTAACTAACATCTAAATTATCCATTTGCTCCTCTTTAAAATATATATGCCATCCAACCTTTATGGAACTGAAATCAAGGCACAAGGCTTGTTTATCAACTGAATGACTATGAGAAAGTCACTTCATTTCTGTAAGCCTAAGTCTCCTTATTTGATACTTCATTATTGTCTTTAAGATGTGAGTGACTTATATTTTTGTTTATATGTTTCTATAGATTTTTACCAAATTGATGATAATGCTTCTGTGTCTCCACCAAAATCTCATGTCGAATTGTAATTCCCAGTGTTGGAGGAGGGGCTTGGCGGGAGGTGACTGAATCATGGGGGCAGACTTCCCCCTTGCTGTTCTTGTGATAGAGTTCCTCCAAGATCTGTTTGTTTAAGTGTGTATTAACCCCCCTACTCTCTCTCTCTCTCTCTCTGCTGTCATCCATGTGAAGATGTGCTTGCTTCCTCTTCACCTTCCACCATAATTGTAAGTTTCCTGAGGTCTCCCCAGCCATGCCTCCTGTACAGCCTGCAGAAACTATGAGTCAGTTAAACCTCTTTTCTTCATAAATTACCCAGTCTCAGGTAGATCTTTATAGCAGTGTGAGAATGAACTAATACAGAAAATTGGGACCAACGAAGTGGAGCATTACTATAAAGACACCTGAAAATGTGGAAGTGACTTCAGAACTGGGCAGAGGTTGAAACACTCTGAAGGGCTCAGAAGAAAACAGGAAGAAGGGAGAAAGTTTGGAACTTCCTAGAGACTGTTGTTGAATGGTTGTAACCAAAATGCTGATAGTAATATGGACAGTGAAGTCCAGGCTGAGGATGTCTCAGAGGGAGATGAAGAACTTAGTGGAAACTGAAAGGGCACTCTTGTTATGCTTTAGCAAAGAGACTGGTGGCATTGTGCCCCTGCTGTAGAGATCTGTGGAATTTGAACTTGAGAGAGACAATTTAGGGTGTCTGGCAGAAGAAATTTCTAAGCAGCTAAGTGTTCAACTTGTGGCACGACTGCTTCTAAAAGCCTATGTTCATTTGCATTAACAAAGAAATGACCTGAAACTGTAACTTATATTTAAAAGGGAAGCAGAGCATAAATTTTGGAAAATTTGCAGCCTGACCATGTAGTAGAAAAGAAAAATCATTTTTCTGGAGTGGAATTCAAGCCTGCTGCATAAATGTGGATAAGTACAGAGAAACCAAATGTTAATAATCAAGACAATGGGGAAAATGCCTCCAAGGCATTTCAGATACCTTCACAGCAGCAACTCCCATCACAGGCCCAAAGGCCTGGGAGGGGAAAAATGGTTTTGTGGGCTGGGCCCAGGTCCCCACTGCCCTGCACAACCTCAGAACATTGTTCCCTGCATCCCAGCTGGTCCAGCTCCAGCCATGGCTAAAAAAGCCCCAGATACATCTCAGGCCACTGCTCCAGAGGGTGCAAGCCAGAAGCTGCCAAGGTTTCCACTTGGTGTTAAGCCTATGGGTGCACAGAGGGCAAGAGTTGAGGCTTGGGAGCCTCTGCTAGATTTCAGAGGATGTATGGAAACGTCTGGATGTCCAGGCAGAAGTTGACCTGAGCTGCAGGAGTGGAGCCCTCAAAGAGAGCCTCTTCTAGGGCAGCATGGAAAGGAAATCTGGGGTTGGAGGCCCCACAAAGGGTCCCAACTGGGGCACTGCCTAGGGGAGCTGTGAGAAGAGGGCCATCATCCTCCAGGACCCCAAATGGTAGCTCCACCAACAGTTTGCACCATGCACTTGGAAAAGCCACAGGCACTCAATGCCAGCCTGTGAAACCAGCTTAGGGTGCTGTACCCTGCCAAGTCACAGGGATGGAGCTGCCCAAGGCCTTAGGAGTTCACCCTTTGCATCAGTGTGGCCTAGATGTGAGACATGGAGTCAAAGGAGATTGTTTGGAGCTTTAAGATTTAATGACTGCCCTGCTAGGTTTTAAACTTGCATAGGGCCTATAGCCCCTTTGTTTTGGCTGATTTCTCCCTTTTGTAACAGGACCATTTACCCAATGCCAATACACCCATTGTATCTTTGAAGTAACTAACTTGTTTTTGGTTTTACAGGCTCATAGGCAGAAGGGACTTGCCTTGTCTCAGATGAGACTTTGGACTTGGTCTTTTCAGTTAATACTGGAATGAGTTAAAACTTCGGGGGACTCTTGGGAAGGCATGATTGTCTTTTGAAATGTGAGAACATGAGATTTGGGAGGTGCCAGGGGTGGAATACTATGGTTTGGCTCTGTGTCCCCAACCAAATCTCATGTCAAATTGTAATTCCCAGTGTTGGAGGAGGGGCCTGGTGGGAGGCGATTGAATCATGGGGGTAGACTTCCCCCTTGTTGTTCTTGTGATAGAGTTCTCCCAATATCTGTTTGTTTAAAAGTGTGTCTTTTACTTCTCTGTCTTTCTCCCCTGTTGGCCAAGTGGAGACTTCCTTCCTTCCCCTTCACCTTCCACAATGATTGTAAGTTTCCTGAAGCCTCCCTAACCATGCCTTCTGTACAGCCTGCAGAACTATGAGTTAATTAAACCTCTTTTCTTTATAAATTACCCAGTCTCAGGCAGTTTTTTAGAGCAATGTGAGAACAAACTGATACAATGATACTTACCTAGTGATAACTGATTAATAAGAGGCTTTTTACGTTCTTTGCAAGGAAAGAAGGAAACATTGGCAAGTGAAGGGAAGCATGAAGGGAACACAGTAGCATGCACATAGTAGAAATAATATATGTATTATTGTTGTTATTATTACTATTAACCTGAATTGTCCATTCATTTTTTAACAGATACCAATATTTTATAAGACATTGTGCTTGTTTCCATCAAGTAACAATATTTGTAAAAGTATATATTGAGTAATAGTAAAATATTAAAAACTTTCCTAAAGCTCATCAATAAATATTTTATTCAACTTTTAAGTTCAGGGGTACATGCGCAAGTTTGTTTTACAGGTAAACTTGTCTCGTGGGGGTTTGTTATACAGACAATTTCATCACCCAGGTATTAAGTCTAGTACCCATTATTTTTCCTGATCTTCTCTCTCCTCTCACCCTCCATCCTCCAGTAGGCCCCAGTATGTGTTGTTCCCCTCTATATGTCCATGTGTTCTCATCATTTAGCTCCCACTTATAAGTGAGAACATGAAGTATCTGGTTTTCTGTTCCTGCATTAGTTTGCTAAGGATAATGGCCTCCAGCTCCATCCATGTTCCTGCAAAGGACATGATCTCATTCTTTTTATGGCTGCATACTATTTCATGATGTATATGTACCACATTTTCTTTATCCAGTCTATCATCAATGGACACTTAGGCTGATTCCACATCTTTGTTGCTGTGAATAGTGCTGCAATAAACATATACATGCATGTGTCTTTATAATAGAATTTATATTCCTTTGGATCTGTACTCAGTAATAAGATTGCTGGATTAAATGGTAGTTCTGTCTTTAGGTCTTTGAGGAATCACCACCCTGTCTTCCACAATGGTTAAACTAATTTACGCTGCCACAAAGAGTGTGTAAGCATTCCTTTTTCTCTACAATCACTTCAGCATCTGTTATTTTTTGACATTTTAGTAATAGCTCTTCTGACTGGTGTGAGATGGTATCTCACTGCAGTTTTGATTTGCATTTCTCTAATGATCAGTGATGTTGAGCTTTTTTTCATGTGATTGTTAGCCATATGCTTGTCTTCTTTTGAGAAGTGTTTGTTATTTTTTTGCCCACTTTTTAATTTTTTTTTCTTGTAAATTTGTTTAAGTTCCTTATAGATGCTGGATATTAGACCTTTGTCCGATGCATAGTTTGCAAAAATTTTCTCCCATTCTATAGGTTATCTGTTTACTCTGTTGATATTTTCCTTTACTGTGCAGAAGCTCTTTAGTTTACTTAGATACCATTTGTCAATTTTTGCTTTTGTTGCAATTGCTTTTGCTGTCTTCATCATGAAATCTTTTCCTGTTCATATGTCCAAAATGTTATTGCCTAGGTTGTCCTTCAGAGTTTTTTATAGTTTTGAGTTTTACATTTAAGTTTTTAATCCATCTTGAGTTGATTTTTGTATATGGTATAAGGAAGGGGTCCAGTTTCAATCTTCTGCATATGGCTAGTCAGTTATCCTATCACCATTTATTGAATAGGCAATCCTTTGGTTTTTGTCAAGTTTGTTTTTGTCATTGATTGTTTTTGTCAAGTTTGTCAAAGATCAGATAGTTGTAGGTGGGCACCATTATTTCTGAGTTCTTTATTGTGTTTAATTGGCATATGTGTCTATTTTTGTACCAGTACCATGCCATTTTGGTTACTGTAGCCCTGTAGTATAGTTTGAAGTCAGGTAGTATGATGCCTCCAGCTTTGTTCTTTTTGCTTAGGATTGCCTTGGCTACTTGAGTTCTTTTTGTTGTTGTTCCATATGAATTTTAAAATAGATTTTTCTAGTTCTGTGAAGAATGTCAATGGTAGTTTAATAGGAATACCATTTAATCTATACATTGCTTTGGGCAGTATGGCCATTTTAATGATATTGATTATTCCTATTCATGAGCATGGAATGTTTTTCCATTTGTTTGTGTCATCTCTGTTTTCTTTGAGCAATGTTTTGTAGTTCTCCTTGTGGAGATCATTCTCCTTCCTGGTTACCTGTATCCCTAGGTATTTTATTCTTTTTATGGCAATTGTGAATGGAATTGTGTTCCTGATTTGGTTCTTGACTTGACTGTTGTTAGTGTATTGGAATGTTAGTAATTTTTGCACATTGATTTTCTATCCTGAGACTTTCCTGAAGTTGTTCATCAGCTGAAGGAGCTTTTGGGCTGAGACTACAGGATTTTTTAGATATAAGATCATGTCATCTGCAAACAGAGATAGTTTGACTTCCTCTCTTCCTACTTGGGTGTCCTTTATTTCTTTCTCTTGCCTGATTTCCGTGGCTAAATTAACTAGCTATGTGACCTTGAAAATATGCTCAACCTCTCTGAGACTCTGATTGCTAAATCTGTGAAATATAGACAACAATAATTCTATTCATGAGATTGTTAAAAGTAATATTTAAATGTTGGGAGGATAAGCACTTAGTGCTGTACTAGATCTGATACGGTGACACTACACAAAACACTTAGTAAACTTAGATAATAATTATCCACATTTACAACAGGAAGGTCAGCTGGACAGGGCAGATAAAGAATCCAGAGAAAAACTGAATACCAGTTAAGGGCAATCCAAGAATTCAGGTACAGAAGACAAGGGAGTTCCCAGTTTTCAAAAGTTAAGCAGAAGAAGGTAGATATAATGGAGATTCTCACTTAAAGCAGCAGTATTTTGTCCAGATCAAGTTAAAATCAAGCATGTATTGAGTTGTTCATAGCAGAGAGGAGATGGAACATAGTGATCAAGAGACTGAGTTTTGTAGAAAGTCTTGGGTTTTAGTCCTGATTCTGGAATATACCAGTTATGTAACCTCAGTTCCCCAACGCTCAATTCCTCATCCATAAGCAAAAAAATAAAAGTCCTAAGATTTGATCACCAAAGTTCCAACTTGGACCCCCAGTGAACATCAAGCTCATTGTGGCAGCAAGACAGGTGTCATGAGAGTCAGGCTACCATGGAGAGATATACTCAGGCCCCGGACACAGACCTGTATTGACTCCTAGATTAGATATGTACCATGCAATTTAGAACAAGTTTCTTAATCTTTCTGAGCCAGAGCTTCCTCAACTATATATTGGAGATAATAATAATTTCTAAGTAAGATAGGGTAAGCAAAACACCATTACAATGACCGGCACATACTATGTGTTCAAAAAGTCATGATCACTGTTGCTTATGCTTGCTCTTTCCAGGCACTATGCTACATGTTGGAGTTAAAACAGTGAACAAGAGTACATTTCATTCCATCTTTCAGATATTTAAAGACAGGTGCCATGTCCATATCCACTCTGGTCTCTTCTTCAGTTCCTTAGCTATTCCCCCATGACAAGATGTCCCAACATGACCCTCTCTTTCCTGGCCATTGTTAGACAAGCTCTGTTTTGTAAATAACCCTTTGGAATATGGCACCCAGAGTGGAGATGATATCCAGCCACGATGTGATCAACCTGAAATGTCGTAAGATAAGAATTTGGCTTTGACCTTAACACTGTACTTCCACTAACCCAACCAACATTTCTATTAGTTTTTTTTTTTTAATTCCTGCAATAGTTAAAAAGGAAACTACAATAGAATTGTTGCTAAACTCATTGGCACAGTGTACAGCCTGAAAAAGTATTCAGTTATTTTAAGCAAGCTGAAAAAATAAAGAAGTAAATATTCTGTATGAGAATCCAAAGTAGAATCATGGAGCAGAAAGAGTCTATTATACCTCCTTAATGTTGTAGGCAGTCAAGATCACTCTAAATTAGTACCACAGAGAAGATGGATGTTTCCATCTGGGGAAGAAAAGAATCCATTAAAATGACTATGAATAGAAATACTTAGCCAAGAAGAAATAAACTGTGAGTATATTTTAAAGGCAAACTCCATAGTAAAGTTGAGAAGATCTGTAATAACGATGTCAAATATCTTCTTTTAAATCTCATAAATCCTACCACAGGAATAGAGTGGAGTGAGAGCAGATTTATGCCTTTCTACAAAGGCAGAGTCTTCTACCAATACTTGCAGATAACCCAGTGGGCCACCAACAAGTAGTTACTGCAACCTCAGAACTTAGACAATCCCCTTTACAAATTAGAATAGAGTCCTAGAAGACAGATTATATTCTCGGAGCTGTTTTCACAGGACTATTTTCTGGCTCTTTGATTTATTTGCTTAGGTCTGAGTGTCAGAGGCCTGAAAAGTCATCTCTGGATTACAGAGATGAGTTTAGCATGAAAGTCACATTTTGTTTTATAAAAGCAGCTCAAGCATCAGAGTTTGAATGGCTCGGCACCTCTTTAATCAAACCAGGGCTGCTCAGTGCAGGGCTTTGTAAGTGAGCTAATTAGTAATGTGCCAGAGACCTACCTGGTTAATCAAATGATTAATCACTCAGTAGACTTCATTCCTCTTGTTTTCTGGCTGTCTTTGGCTCCTGTATTTGGTGTTTTTGTATTTTTGGGGTAACTAGCATTTTAATAGCTGGCAGCCACCATTCAGGATAAAAAAAAAAGTGACATTGTCTCATTTTAACCATTTTTTGTACGCATAAAAATGAGACAGAGGGGGTTCCTTTCTAGAACAGGTTATATGGCTTGACCAAGAAACATTAAGCCAGTTCTGAGGAAATATGATGTTTGGGTAGAAGAGGATTTGAAGTTCTGTGGAAGGTTTGAGCCTTCCTTTACGTATGCAGGCCTGGTTAGAGAAAAGATTTTTGAAAATCACATGACCATAAATCAGCTGACTTGATTTTTAGGTTTCTTCCTTCTATTTATTTAATATTTTACTCTTTAAAGTAGTTTTAAAGGGAAAAGAAGGCTAGCCATCTTGGCAAATTCTAACATTGAAAATAGGGTTGCATATTTTATAGTTTTGTTGAGAAAATTGATAAAGTAAGTGCTGTAGTTTGGATGTTTGTCCCCTCCAACCTCACATTGAAATTTAATCCCCAGAGTAGTGATGTTAGAAGGTAGGGCCTAATGGAGGTATTTGGGTCCTGAGGGCAAATTCCTCATGGATGGCTTGGTGCCATTCTCACAGTAGTGAGTTAGTTCTTGCTCTGTTAGTTCCCATAAGAGCTGGTTGTTAAAAAGAGCCTGGCACCTCCCCTTTCTCACCTTTGCTTCCTCTCTCACCATGAGATCACTGCACACCCAGCACCCCTTGCCTTCTGCCATAAGTGGAAGCAGCCTGAGCTTCTCACCAGGAGCTGAGCAGATGCCGTTGCCATGTATCTTGTACAGCCCAAAGAGCCAACAGCCAAATAAATTTTTTTTAATTTTATAAACTACCCAGCCTCAAGTGTACCTTTATGGCAACACAAACAAAGACAGTAAGTTAACTTTAAGTTCCATTTTATGTGCTTTCTAGATAAGACATATTAAAAAAGAACAAATGCATTCCTTTAACTGCAATGTTCCAGCTCTGATCATTTCCAGATTAATGATACTCTTAAAGTTTAGTTATCCAAACTGTTAAAGAGCTTAATTATTGTTTTAAAATATAATAATATAATGGACCAATTTCAATTTAATATCTTAAAATCATTGTCCCTCAAAAATACGCAAATGGCTAAGAACTATATTAATCAGTTTCCAGAAAGATGTGCACAATGTCATTACAAGTACCCATGAAAATCTGCCCTCCTGCCCTGTCCATGTGACTCCTCAGCCCGTCTTCATAGCCCTGTGGATCTTCACCATGCACACACACCATAAGAGAAGATCCTCTTATTATCCCAATGGCATGGATGGCAATATAACAACAATTATAAATTTGTTCACAATAATTATTTTGGTTCATTCCTGTATTTGGACTCCAAAGTAAATTGTTTTCCATTGCCACATATGCAAAATTCCTACATTCCCAGTACAGAAAATGTAATCAAATAATACTTGACTTTTTTAAAAGGCTAGTGTAAGCCTGAAAGTAGTTGCAAGTGGCATAAGGGTCAATAGGCTTACATCCTGAAAAGCTGTGGATTCCCTAACCTTCTGGAAACAGCAACATTTCCAGTTGGAATTTCTCTGTTTCTCTCTCTTTTTTTTTTTTTTTTTTTTTTTTTTGAGACAGGGTCTGGCTCTATCACCCAGGCTAAAGTGCAGTGGTGCAATCTCAGCTCACTGCAACCTCTGCCTCCCAGGCTCAAACAACTCTCCCACCTCAGCCTTCCAAGTAGCTGGGGCTACAGGTGCATGCCATCACACCCAGCTAACTTTTGTATTTTTTTTGTAAAGACAGGGTTTCCATGTTGCCAAGGCTGGTCTTGAACTCCTGGGCTCGAGCAATTCATCCATCTCGGCCTCCCAAAGTGCTACAATTGCAGGCATGAGCCACTGAGCCACCTTGCCCAGCCCTAGCTGTAATTTTTCAAGCTGCATGGTTCATCATCTCTTCAAAGTAAGTCCCTGATCTTCTGCTTTAGAGAGCCACTGTTTCTGGTGAGAGGAGGTCAAGCACCTCAGGGATGGGGTGAGAGATGTGTGGTGTGTGAGTGTGCATGGGTGTGTGTGAGTGTGTATGTTTGAGTCAAGGGAGAGGTGAAGGTCAATCAACATTACTGGGTGCCTTAAAAAGCAAACAGAAATTTTAAGGATGGGAGTATCCTTATAACTTCAGGATAAAATGAAAAAACATGGGAGGGTTGAGAATCCAACTGGAGGGATTATATTTCATTTATTCATATTTCAATACTGTCCCAGAATGGTTTCTAGAAACCTATAATGTAGGCAAAAATTAGTTCTTGAGGCAAAGCTTTGATTATAAAAAAAAAAAAAAAAAACTCACAAAATGAAGGATTATAAACAAATACCTCTAAGTTAAAGTACTCTTTAATAACTAGAAAACAGAGTCATCAAAAGAGAATTCAGGATAAAGACTAATTGTTCACCTTATTTCCAAGGCAGCCCATCCAAGTAGAGGTCCTGAGGGGGGAAATGTGGCCATTTCCTGGACCAGGCATATCCTGTGGTCAGGAGCAGTCCTGGAAATATTAAAAAATGTGACATGTTATCAGTTTTTCCTTCTTCAGTTTTACCCATCTCCAATCTGCCTGCCTCCAGAATTATCTTTTTAAAACACAACTCTCTCCTAGTGATCAGTTCAAGCTGCCTTGGACTTGCCACAGTGTTGTCCATGAGATTTCCCTAGTGTCCATCATTCCTTCCCCCACTCTCTCCACTTCTGGATTACATTAACCCAAAACACCACAAATCTTGTAGCATTCTGTTCCCACTGGACTAAAACAGCACCCTCCATCATCTTCAAGATCTCTCCACCAAATAATTTCTGGACTTCCACAGGCAGAATCTTACTCCTTATTCCTGAACAAGTCTACTCATGCAGGCCTCTGCACCTGGACACTAGGTGTCAAGGTGCCCACTGTTCCTCTACAGTACTCAACCAAGCCCTTGTAAACCAAAAATAAAATTCTAAGCCCCCCAACCAATTGAATGGACCTTTCTCTCAGCCAATGGCATTCCAAAGTAAATCTGGAAAACTAGTTCAAGCCATGATGGCAAAGGGGGAGTCAGACTTGCCTCATTATATCCTTCTCCCTTTGGAATTCAGGCATAACTGACCATCATTAACATTAAAATAGAAATCTTAAGACTGACAAAAGACTCTTTGTAACAATGAAATATCAAATTTCAACATGACTCCAGTATAACATTACATGACAGATAGCAGGTCTTCAAAGAAATCGAAGTATTTTACCCCAAAATATACTTAGGTGACATATTTTGAAATGGCCCTGCAAGTCTGTCTCTTGTCAAGGAAATCTACATTCTGGAGAGATTCCCCTTACCTTTCCAGGTCTCTTCCTGATCCAAGAAAGATTAACTTAGAGTCTGGCATGTTTTTAACTCTGACAAGAAACATTTACCATCTACTTTCTCTGAAGCCTACTATCCAGAGGCTTCATCTACATAATAAGAACCTTGGTCTCCACAACTCCTTATCTTAACGCGTATATTCCTTTTTATTGATTCCGGGACTTTAGATAATAGCTTAAATATTTAAACCAATTGCCAACCAGAAAATCTTTGGCCTGGAAGGACACCCCCACTTCACCCTCCACTTCAAGTTGTCCTGCCTTTCGAGACTGAACCAATGCCTACCTTACATGTATTGACTGACATCTGCCTGTAACTTCTGTCCCTCTAAAATGCATAAAATCAAGCTGTAAACTTCTAAACTGATTGAGACTTCTCTCAGATATTTTTTGGTTTATCCCCTAGACCAAGATTCCACAGCAGTTTTACCTCTGCTCTGCCAAGCCTCATGTTCAATGACCCAAAAGTTTTGATGTGCGTAAGCACCAAAAATTTTGGTAATATTCTGACAATTGGAGAAAAACATTTCTATCCCTTTTGTATAAACCTCCAAGAACAGAGAAAGCAGTACCAAACTGTATGCCTCTTATCCCAAAGTTTGCAGATATTTAAACAAAGCAGTTATTTTCATTTCTATATATGGCAACTCTGTGCCGCTTAAGATCCACCCTTTAAAAAAGCCTAAGGCAGGTTAGGAAACAAACCCAAATGGCAGCCAGAGCATAGGTTTTTTCTTGGGAGTCAGCTACCCACTTCTTAAAACCTAAGGCCTCTCAACTGGCTCTCCATACATGCCCAAATGTGTCTATCTGGATCCCACAAGTGGAAGCATTATGACTTCTTTCACAGGAGGATCCTCAATATCCTCCAAAATAGTTCCATCAGATACAAACCTGAAGTTTTCCCAATAGCCTCAAGCATGCCTGGACCTGTAAGCAGACATGGCCCATGCTCAAACTGAAACCCAGCTACACCTTGATTTATGGGTTGGATGGGAGAACATGAGTATCTGCCAAAAAAAGGAAGTATTTGAACCACATTTTGAAGAAAGAGTCAGATTTATGCAAACACTGTGGGGCAACGATTCATGAAGAGGGAACATGACAGAGAAAACAGAATCATGACAGAGGCCAAATATCTAATGACTTCATTTTAATCAAACTTTGTTAAGGTGTCCAGAGAAGGACATACTGACATTCTTTGAGATCATATTGACTTACAGTAACCACTCAATAAATTTTGTTGAATGAATAAATGAACAAATCATTTCACTTTTTTTAAGTGAATTAAATTTGGCTCTGAGTCCCAGCTTGCTACAAACAAGAAGGATTCCATTTCAGTCACTTTTGAAGGGGAATTCCTTCTCTTCCTAGGGTTTTAAAGACAATCAAGGAGGTTGACGTGGTGTCCAAAAAGTGAGAGATTACTCCATCATGTCATCATCTTCCAATTGTCTGTTTTGTGCATGAGGCTACTGGGCGAACTTGTCCTCCCCCATCTAGCAGGTGAGGATGCTTCAGGTGGGCTCAGATGTACTTTCACAGCAGTCCTTTTCACTCAACAGAGGCCTGACTGCAAAACCAATGCCTGCTCGTAAAGCCTCAGTGTCAGCCTCCACAATCCTCTCACAGACACCTCCCCATCTTTGATGCATCAGACACAGAGGTCACGGATCTCCACCACTCATGGAAACACTAAAGATACTACCTAGCCCTGTCTCCACCAGAGAAAAGGAAAACATCTCCTTTCACCTTTGAGTGAACCCCGTTCTATTTCCTGGGCCCACAGCACCTTATAAACCATAGCCCGAATAGAAGTATGTGTGTTTTTTTCCAGGTGCTTTGCAATTTCTGTTTTTAACCCTGATGCATAGAAACTATTAACAATCCCTTAGAAAGAAACTCAAACTCAGAACACAAAGATTACCTCTTTTATTATGGTAAGGAAGAGGAAAACATCTCTTGTCCATTCAGGTCTCTTCAGAGTAGCTAGAACAAAACCCAAAATAAAGTTACAGCATATAATTTTGCCCCATCATCACACTAATCCCCATGATACTGTGCATAACTGCGTCCAAAAAAATTGAATTAAGAGTCAGAAGACTCTACCATCCTGGATGCACTTCAGCACAGTATGGTCCCACTATCTCCATGTAAATTTTGTCCTAGAGACCTCCCAAGACTATCATCTCCATGTAAATTTTGTCCTAGAGACCTCCCAAGACTATCATGGAGATCAAATGAGAAAAGAAATTTTATAAATGCTGGAAGCCAGGGAAAGAGTGCTTGCTAGTGTAGTGTGGACCATGCCAAGAGCCAAGACACATCTAATTAGCTGTGCCTGCTCCCTGTGATTCTGAAAAAATGTCCTCAGAGTTCTAGTAACCTGTCTGACCTTGGAACCAGTGCCCCATCTCCTTGTGGGTTGTTGTCACCATTTCCCCTACAATCCTAGAAGAAGAACAGGCCCTAGTGGTGACCCACAAGAAATGCCAGGGAGAAATGCGATCCTTGGGCCACTGCAGGGCAAGAGAGCAGGTCAATCACCTGCGCAATGTTTGCTGTGGGTCCCGAGGCCTGAAAGGTTGCTTTGTTCAGCCACCAGGTAAGCTGCAAGAGGAAGGTGCTTCTCCAGCCACTGCCACCAAGACCTGCACAAAGCACTTATTCAGAGATCCAGGCCTAGCCATGCCCTCTGATACTGCCTCTGACTTATTGGATTGCCTATACAAAGATCATTTCCCCACCTGCACCCTCCCATTCCTGACCCTGCCACTCAGAGGGCATGGGTAGAATATTACATTCCAGAGAGAAAAGGCAATATTCAGGCTGAAAAAGACCAGGCTGCAGTTGAGGACAATCCTCTTTCACCATAGAGCTCTCAATGTCCCTGCAGACAATAGGCCTCTGTGCGGCCCCATCTTCTTATGCAAGGACAACTTACATGTTTTCATCTTTGGAAACTTCAAACTGCTCAGTCCCCAGGAACAAGGAAATGTCTGTCTAGGAGGGATGAGGAGAGAGGAGGTGAGATTTGTCACTTCAAAATAATCTCCTAGCCAGGTTTGTTTATTCCCATGGGCAATGCCAAATTTTTGCCAGTTTATTCTTTAACTCATTTGAACAGTCAATGTCTACAGAACATCTACCATGAGTTAGGTATCTTGCTAAGATGCCTAGTAATAGATACCTAACTGCAAAGAGAAAAATTAAATAAGACCACCCTACCCTCAAGCAGATAGTGTCCAAGGGTCTCAAAAAGCATTTTGTGAATTGATTTTGTATGGGCATCCTTTTTCCCACTAAATTTTACACCTAATGTTTGATTTTCATTCTGTCCTGGCTCCTGAATCCCTTCTGAGTTATCATTATGTGAGCATAAAGATCAAAATTTTGAGTTTCCCAGGCACTCTTCTACTAGTGGAAATGCAAACTGCCATAACACCTATTGAGGATAATTTGACAACATATTTAAAAACTACATATGTGTTTACCCTTAACCCTAGCAATATTACTTCTGAGATTTAACCCTGAATATACACCTTTAATATATGTGTATTATTACATATACATAGTGTTACCCAGTGCAACACCATTTTTATATGTAAAATATTGGAAAGTACCTAAATATATCCAAGAATAAAAGACTGGTTGAATAAACCATAGTATATATACACAATAGAGTACTATGCTGCTGTTAAAAATGTGATGATCTCTACACACTAATTTGTAGCAATTTCCAGGAGATACTGTTAAGTGCAAAAGCAAAATGCAAAGTAGCATATATAGTATGCTATCTTTTCTGTAAAATATGAGAGAAAATAAGAAAACATAAAAGTCTCTGCTTAATCTTACCCCCTACAAAAGAAAGAAAAGAAACAAGGAAAGGAAAAACAGAAAACAATTAAGTTGGTTACCTACAGAGATGAGGAAACAGGGAGAAAGAGATATGGGCAACAGTGACACTCCTCTAATAATAGAGCTGCTTATAGGGCTTTGGCTTGAAAAGCTGTCAATGTTTTACATATTAAAGAAAATAAAATGTATCCAATAAATATGGGAAGGGCAAAAAAAATTCTGAAAGCAAACCATAAAATTGAACCCAAGTGTGTTTCAAATGAATTGCATAACCTCACTGACCAGAGAAACAGGTAGAGAAGTTTAACAAAAGTCATATGAACACTGCATTCATTTATGCAGGGTAGAGGGTGGGAAACCATACATTCTGAACTCTTTTTAATGAGTTTGTTTTTTGTAGTGGTTTAAGTGAAGCAATTCGAAAACTATTTTATATGTATTATGGAAGTGAGCAAATAAAGAAATGTTTTGATGTTGATGGGATCCAGAGTTTTCAATGTGGAAGAAGGGATGTGTAAATATGGAGTAGAAGAAGGAAATAAAGAATCCTATGAGGGTGGATTGAAATTGGAGGCTATTGTTAGGGATTCAGTTTTTCTAATATATATGTGTTTGTGTGTACCTTTCCTGGTTCTTTCCTAGCTCTGTCTGCTGAAAGGGTCTAGAAGCAAAGACACTCCAGTAGCAATGAGCAGACTTAGCTCCCACATTTTTGTCTCTAATGCCATTCCCCACCAAAAGGAACCAGGGCACCACAGAGAGATAGCTGATTTCAAAGCTGGGGCAAGTTGTGTATAACATGAGTCTGGAAAAACGAGTTGTGCCAGAAAGTAAGGAAATACTCAAAAAGTGGTCGAGAGCACATTACAAGTACATAGGAGCCAGCTTGAAGGGGCTACCACTGACCGAATATGACATGATTTGACCACCAATTAATTAAAGGTGGTGATTAATTATAGAACATTAAAAATAGGAATCCATGGTCCATTTTTATGATAAATCTAGATAGATGATAGATAGATAGATAGATAGATAGATAGATAGATAGATAGATAGATAGATAGATAGATGATAGAGATAGATAGATGATAGATAGATAGATAGATAGATAGATAGATAGATAGATAGATAGATAGATAGATAGATAGACAGAAAGACAGACAAAGAAAAGAAGGCTGTCTTGCTGAGTCCTGACTGGTAAATATAGAAGTTCTGAAGTTGGAAAAAAAAATCATCATTTCGTAACCATCATAGTATAAAACTGGTTCAGACAAAAGAATCATCCATGGATGTTAACTCTATGGGGAAATTTTGATAAGGAGAATGATATGTATTTGCATGACCTTAAAATGTCTCTCTACATTTTGCTAATTGGTAAGAGAAAGAGAGAAATAGTAATTAAACAGTAGAGAAATGAAAAATGACCTTGACTGAGTGATCAAAGTTAACATCACCAATGAGGGGCAGATGGACACCATGTACTTCCAAATGCCATGCCCTGAGAAGGACATCACTTAAGTGGCCTAGAATGCATAAACTGAAGCGAATTATGAGGAAATATGAGATTGCCATCCGGCAAATTAGATACACTCTATTTTAAGCAGGGAGGAGGCTGTATTTTTTTAAATGTCAGTATCATAAAAGAAAAAGAAAGCCTATAGAAATGTTTCAGATTGAAGGAGACTAAAGATACATGACAACTAAAGGCAATACTTAGCCTTTGACTGATCCCATAATGGAGGTAAAAAATGCTATAAAGGATATTATTGAGTCAATTGACAAAACTGGAATAGGGACAGCAGATTACATCAAGGTATTACATCAGCATCTACTGAAATTAATAACCACCTTGCGGTTATGTAAGAAAACACCATTATTTCTAGCAAGTAAACACTGTAATATTTAGGAGAAAAGCTATAATATATGCAACTTACTCTCAAATGGCTCTCCAAAGATGCATGTGTGTGTGTGTGTGTGTGTGTGTGTGTGTGTGTGTGTGCATATGCACGCTCATGTGTGCGTGGAAAAAAGAGAAGAAATGGTAAAGTAAATGGGGCAAAATGTTAACAACAGTAAAATATGGATAAAGGACATATGGCTGTCTTTTGCACTGTTTTTAGTCTGTGATTTTTCTTCAAATTTATTTTCATTTTTTAAAAAATATTTTTGAGTTCTGGCACTCTGAAGATTTAACAAAAGGAAAAAAATGTGGATTTTTTTTTCAGCTGCCGTAAAAAGTAGAAGTAATTCTTTAATAGAAGAAAATTCCCATAGACTTGCATAGAAATTATTTAGGAGTTAATTTTCCCATTATATTGTTCTCCTTTGAGAAGCTTCCAGTGATTTCAAACACTACAGTGATTAAAAACTCAATTGGCTGAAGCCAAAAATCACATTAATAAAATAAAAATCAAACTTAAAATTTAAATAGTCAAAAGGAAGAACATGGAAAACACATGCTTAATTGTTACCTGCAAGTATAGTTAAATTGGAATTATTTGGTCAAACATATTTACAAATGTCACAGAGAGAAAATGACCAATACAATTTTGAGAACTACATAATGGTTTAAATGCTTCAGAAGTATAATTTTTAAAAGTTATTTTAAATGATAAAACATTCAATAACTTTATAGAATCTTTCATTATTAAATAAATGACTGTATTTTTCTCTTAAAAATTTTTTAAAAGCTTTTTTTTCTTAATTTTGAGTTTCTGGTGATTACATTTCAAAAGAGCAATGTGAACCTTATTGCCTCAGACTATCCTCTGGTACATGTCAGCATTTTTCACTGCAGCAGCTCTTGGCCCATTCATGTGTTCTTCCTAAAGCCATTATCTTAAGATTCTGACATGTAAGGGACGCATTCTGGGTGCATACTTCATTGCAGTGCACAGAGGGTAAGGTAAAGGAAGATAAATTGTGTCCTCAATCAGGCTAGCAGTGCTTGGTACTTGGGTCATCTTAAGTTGCTTGGAACAATGATACCTACCACATCATGCACCAGAATTATACCAAGAACTTTATGCATATTATCTCATTTAATCCTCGCAATACTGAGATGGGGCAATAATGTCCTTGGAAAGGAAGTCAACATATAGTGAGTTTGACCTGTGAGAAGTGGCAGAGCCAAGACTAGAATCCAGATTTTCTGGTTCCAAAGCTTGTGCTCTTTCATCTGTATGGTGTATTACCTCCCCAAGAGGTAGAGAAACCAGGGCCAACAGGCCAATCTTACACAATCTCTAGCTCTTAGTTCAGATGCTACAGCCTCTACAAAGTCTTCCTTGAACCCCAGGAAGGTATTGATGCTGCTTTTCTTATTCTCCCATCTCACTTTGCACATACCACCAAAAAAAAAATGATAATCTTGTTGCTTTATTATTTTTGCATGTTTGTTTTACTTTCTGCACTTTGATTTCTTTGAGAATAGAAATTACCTTTTCTTCTCTAGATTCCTAGTGACTATCATAGGGACTAGTTCATAAAATATATTCTATAAATGCTATTGAAGTCATATTGGATTTTAATAAGTATTTATTGAGCCTTTAAAAGAGCTTTACAGCGCTCTCATTTCATTCATACAGAAATTGAGACTTAACTTGAGCCTTAAGTCAACAGCTTGATAAGATTTTGTGCAAAGGCACAAAATCATTAATAGAAAAATTACACCTCATTAATAGAAAAATCATATGTAGAAAGAGAAAGAGAAAATAAGTAGAAAGAGAAAATAATGATGAGCATTTTTTCATGTGTCTCTTGGCTGCATAAATGTCTTCTTTTGAGAAGTGTCTGTTCATATCCTTTGCCCACTTGTTGATGGGGTTGTTTGTTTTTTTCTTGTAAATTTTTTCGAGTTCTTTGTAGATTCTGGATATTAGCCCTTTGTCAGATGAGTAGATTGCAAAAATTTTCTCCCAGAGAAATGCAAATCAAAACCACAATGAGATACCATCTCACACCAGTTAGAATGGCGATCATTAAAAAGTCAGGAAACAACAGGTGCTGGAGAGGATGTGGAGAAACAGGAACACTTTTACACTGTTGGTGGGACTGTAAACTGGTTCAATCTTTGTGGAAGACAGTGTGACGATTCCTCAGGGATCTAGAACTAGAAATACCATTTGACCCAGCCATCCCATTACTGGGTATATACCCAAAGGATTATAAATCATGCTGCTATAAAGACACATGCACACGTATGTTTATTGCAGCACTATTCACAATAGCAAAGACCTGGAACCAGCCCAAATGTCCAACAATAATAGACTGCATTAAGAAAATGTGGCACATGTACACCATGGAATACTATGCAGCCATAAGAAAGGATGAGTTCATGTCCTTTGTAGGGATATGGATGAAGCTGGAAACCATCATTCTCAGCAAACTATCGCAAGGACAAAAAACCAAACATGACATGTTCTCACTCATAGGTGGGAATTGAACAATGAGAACACTTGGACACAGGAAGGGGAACATCACACACCAGGGCCTGTTGTGGGGTGGGGGGGAGGGGGGAAGGATGGCATTGGGAGATATACCTAATGTAAATGACGAGTTGATGGGTGCAGAACACCAACATGGCACATGTATACATAGGTAACAAACCTGCACATTGTGCCCATGTGCCCTAGAACTTAAAGTATAATAATAAAAATAAATAAATAAATAATAATATATAAAAAAGGAGAGAAAATGGATGACCTAATCTACTACAGCTAATCAGGCCAGGCCCAGAGACTTAAACTGAGGTCTACATCCACATGAAGGCAAATGTAGGCAAACTGGGTAGAGCCTGAGAGCAGTATGAAAGTAGATGGTGCTCAATGCCAATGCTGTATAACTGGAGACCAAAGGGACTAGGGGTAATGACAACTTAGGGAGTCATGATGGCTATTTTCAAACACCTTAGTGCATTCAACTTCTCTAGCTGAGCACCAACAGATGAACTTCAGCTAATGTATAGATGTCACCAGCAAGGATTTTGTTTCAATAAAATAAAAAAAAAAACATTCTTTTGTACATATCTCCAAAGATGGAATAAGCTGCTTCAGGTAATAGTGAGCTGTCTGTCATTAGAATTACACAGGCAATGAATGGAAGATCACATGTTAGGAAAGTTTTAGAGTGGATTCTTAAACAGAATAGTAGTCTAGGTTAGGGGCTCCTAAATTCCACTCTTTGGACTGATGTAAAGCTACCACAACAAAATATAAACAAAAGTAGCAAGTTTTTCACAATACTGAATTAATTCAATTTAAACAACTGTCCTTTATTTAAAAATTATGCTTTTTGGCATCACATTTCTTTTTCATAATGAAATGAGAATGACAAGCAAATGCCTTGACTTGGAGGAAAAAAAATAGTTTAACTACTCTGTGTTGGTTGCCAAAATGTCTTTTAAAATTATAGTGACCTATGAGATTCAAAAGTGTATCAGCTAATGGGCCAGATAACCTCTGAGGTTCCTTCTACCCACAAGAGTGAATGACTCTACATCTCACAGACTCTGAAAACTGAGTGCCAGCAACCAGGCCCAGTAGAAATTCACTGGTTGGAGTCATGCATGCCTGGCTTCACATCAGGGTCCAGCTGCTTAGCAGTCAAGAGACTGAGCAAGTTAAGATCTTTGAACCTCAGTTGTTTTATCCTTAAAATAAGAATAAAATTAAAATGCAGCACTGCAGGATCATTGGCTTTGGAGCCCAACACATATAGGCATGTGTGGTAGGTAACCAAAATGGCCACAATTCTTTACATTTCTTCCACCAAGAGGTGTAATTTAATTCTCCATCCTTTATATCTGTGTTGAACTTGTGCTGCTTTTGCAAAAGGTTGTAGCAGAAACAACATTCTGAACCTGAGCCTCAAGTGTCTGCTCACATTTGCTGTTGGTCTTGGAACACTCCCTGTCTTCCATGTAATGAGCTCAGGCTGGCCTGCTAGTTGATGAGGCCCACTCACTCCCACTGCTGCAGTCAAGAGCCAGCAAAAAACCAGAAAGGCCACTCAAGACCAGCCAGTCTCAGGCACGCCTCCATCTGAACACAGATGCAGGAGCAAGCCCAGTTAATATCAACCAAGCCTGACCCAGATCATCAGAAACACCCAACTGGCCCTTAAACTCATGAGTAATAATAAATCGTAGTTATTTGAAGCCACTGCACCTTAGGGTGGTTCATTATTCTGCAAAAGCTAACTGATACATTTTCTTTCCAGAGTTTATATATTTCAAAGTCCTAGCCAAGTGTCCTTGATCAAGTTATTTATAGTGTTTTAGCTTCAATATCCTTACCTGTAAAATAGACGAAAAATTCCTACCTCATAAGTTTATTGTAAGAACCAAGTGATACATTATTAAAATATTTGGCACACAGTGTGTAGCACATATTTAAAAGACATTTAAAATGTCTGTTAAAATTATAGTGACCTATGCAATTCAAGTAGCAAATAACTAATGGTAATAGTGATAGTAGAAATAGTAAAATTATAATGCCTTATAAAACTCAAGTAGTGAACAAATAGTGGTAATAATAGTGATAGTATAAGTAGCAATACTTCCTCCACACTGTTCCTTCCATGTTGATTCCAGCTCTGAGAAATGGCAAGCAAACCTTGTTTGAAATCGCTGTTCATCCTGTGACTAATAAGATGTGTTATGCCAAATTTACTCAGCCAGGGTTTGATTGATTTTATATTCCTGACTTGCAGTCTGAATTATTTAGTAATACTGTACAAGGTGGGTGCTAGGGAGCCCCAGAATTCAGAATTTTCATTCCACTCTTCAGAGAGTTAACAATATAACTGTTTCTAGAGGCAAAGAACCTTAGATGGCCAAGAGGGTGGAGACAGGTAGAGCTAGCTCATTTTGAAGGGTCACTGGGCTGGCATTCTCCCAGGGGCTTTACATATATTATTTACAACAATCTTGGGTTGAGCATTTTCATCCCTGTGTACTGATGAAGAAATTGATTTGAAAAGGTTGGTTAGTGAATTTCTCATGATAGTATAAACAATAAGGGACAGAGCTAGTATTGCACACAGATCAATTATGTTCAGAGCTGTTGATCCCTCCTCTAAAGACTCACTGTCTTCGAAATCATCTAAGACATCTCTCTCATGGTGGCCCCCTCATCACCCCACATCTGTTGCCTTTGCAGTCAATCAGCCCGCATCATGGCTGTCATCTCTCACCTGCATACTTACAGTAGCCTTTTGTCTCCCTGCCTTGCAGGCTCACCCTTTGACAACGGCCCCACTCCTGCCAGAGGGACCCCCATGGCATGTGGGTTATATCAAATTCCCCTTTCAACATTATCCCCCGTCTTTCCTTTACCTACATGATAAAATCAAAACATGGTATGGTTGACTCTGCCTACCTCATCAGCCACAGATTCTAACTCTCCTCCTTCCAGGCCACACTAAGTGACTTTAGCTTCCATGGCCCAGCATGCTTTTCCCTGCTACCACATCATGGTGCATCTTGTGTTCTGTTTTACTTTTCCCAAGGGCTTGACTTTCTGACAAACTCTGACTTGATCTTCAAGTCTCCCTTCAAATGTCAAAACTTTGTAATGTCTTCTCTGAAGTCCCTAAGCAGGTTTAGATCATTTCCACCTTCCCTCTTCTCTCCCAAATAAAGTAATACTCATATTTGTTGCTCTCTCTGTCTTTCCCATAAAATCACAAAGCAGTCATCACCCCAAATTAGTTAGATTATGGTGAAAATGTTTTGAATTCATATCTTGCTAATAAAAAGGGTTATTATAGTGGCCTCTGCTGTTTAGTAATAGGCAAGAAACCAAAATAGAAACCAAGTTAGATTTCACTAAGTAGTTATGAGACTTTGAACTATGGAGACTGTCAGAGCTATAGGTGAACAGATTCCTGATAAACACCTCATTTTTAGATACGATAAAGAATAACTGAAAGCAAATAACCATATTTGAAACTGAGGAAACACTGGCCACAAAAAAAATGAGAGAAAGAGGACAAGGAAAATCTTAATGGAATAAATAGCAAAACCTGCAGAAAGGCTTAGAGAAATCATTTACTTCAATTTTCAGAGGTGCCAAGCACAGAATGCATTTTCCTTATGAGTAAGGAAGAGGAAATTTTGTGAGAAACAAAATCTTTCCAAAGCAGGTGCTAAAGAAATTAAAGCTCACAGAGGATGGACCAAGGCCAGAATTATAATCCACATGGTAAAGAAGGAAAAGGTGTGTGTCTGGGCCAAGAGCAGAAAGGGATTGAAGAGAGACGGAGTAACACGGGCGATACCAAGGGAACCTCCTGGTGTAACCTGTGCTCATTTAAACAAAGGCATATCCCCTTCAGACCTCAGACGGCATTCCAAGGAACACCTACACACTGGAGATGTGGGCCATCCTTCAGTTACTCCACACAGAAATACTAGCATCTATTGTGAATAGTGCCACAATAAACATACATGTGCATGTGTCTTTATAGCAGCATGATTTGTAATCCTTTGGGTATATACCCAGTAATGGGATGGCTGGATCAAATGGTATTTCTAGTTCTAGATCCCTGAGGAATCACCACACTGTCTTCCACAATGGTTGAACTAGTTTACAGTCCCACCAACAGTGTAAAAGTGTTCTTATTTCTCCACATCCTCTCCAGCACCTGTTGTTTCCTGACTTTTTAATGACCGCCTTGGAACCAACCCAAATGTCCAACAATGATAGACTGGATTAAGAAAATGTGGCACATATACACCATGGAATACTAGGCAGCCATAAAAAATGATGAGTTCATGTCCTTTGTAGGGACATGGATGAAGCTGGAAACCATCATTCTCAGCAAACTATCACAAGGACAAAAAACCAAACATGACATGTTCTCACTCATAGGTGGGAATTGAACAATGAGAACACTGGGACACAGGAAGGGGAACATCACACACCGGGGCCTGTTGTGGGGTGGGGGGGAGGGGGGAAGGATGGCATTGGCAGATATACCTAATGTAAATGACGAGTTAATGGGTGCAGCACACCAACATGGCACATGTATGCATATGTAACAAACCTGCACGTTGTGCACATGTACCCTAGAACTGAAAGTATAATAAAAATATATAAAAAAAGAAAGAAAGAAAGAATAGCATCATTTTGTTGCCTGGATCACAGAATTGTAAGGATAATTTAATTACCCTTTCTTCGGTATAAAGATGAGAACGCCCTCAAGCACATTCAAAACTAAAACCACAACATTTATGAGCCTTTCTTGAAGAAGGTACCTAATAACAAAATACAGGAGACCAGTGGTGCTTCAAAATAAAAGAACTCAATAGAAAAGCCATGGTAAAATGGCTGGTAGTGAGCACTAAATGAATTCAAGTGTTGAACAAAGGTTAAACAACTGTGAGAATTATGGTTACAGGATAGAATACAAATGTTATAAATTCCAACAATGTAAAATAATTTTACTAGAAAAACCCAGGTGATGCAAGGAGGGCATGGGGAGACATAAACTAGTATTCTCATATTTCAGAAAAACACTACCATTAATAGATAATAACGAATTTGAAATATTCATTTAAAAAATTTTTTTCTCATCCCCTTCATGTGTTTTTTTTTTCAGTTTTTTTCTTTTTTTTTACTAATGATAATTTTATTTTATTTTATTTTTATTACACTTTAGGTATATGTGCACAACGTACATGTGCCCAACGTGCAGGTTTTTACTGTTTTTCTTAGCCTTTGAGGTACCTTTAAAGAATGACATTCCCTTGTAAAGACACAATCTGAGGTTCAGCAATTCATTCTGTTTCTTCCTTCCATTCAATTCAAGAAAAAATGTTATAATTTAAATGATCTGCATATAAAAAATCCCATCTTTATAAAATTATTTGTACTCAGCTTAATTTGTGTTTTCAAAGACAGGTGTACAAAACAATACTCTATAAAAATCACAATGCTAATCTCTTGGAGGAATAATTTTTTTTTTTTGAAACAGAGTTTCACTCTTGTTGCCCAGGCTAGAGTGCAGTGGCACGATCTCAGCTCACTGCAACCTCCACCTCCTGGGTTCAAGCAATTCTCCTGCCTCAGCCTCCCTAGTAGTTGGGATTATAGGCATGTGCCACCATGCCTGGCTAATTTTGTATCTTTAGTAGAGATGGGGTTTTTCCATGTTGGTCTGGCTGGTCTCAAACTCCTGACCTCAGGTGATCCACCTGCCTCAGCCTCCCAAACTGCTAGGATTACAGATGTGAGCCACTGCACCCAGCCGGGAGGAAGAATTTTAGATGAGATTTTACTTTTTTTCTGTGAACTTTTCACTAGAACCAGATTCTGTGCTGGTTTCTTGATTTTTATTCTTAGCATGTACCATATTTGGGAAAAAAATAGCAAAGATGACATTCTTTTTAAAAAGATTTTCATACAATTTTAAAAAAATAAAATTGATTTTGGCTCCCATAACCACTCTGGTTGGTTTGTGACAGTTGTCTGGAACACCATGTTAAAATGGATTCTGAGCTCCACAGAAAACAATTATCTGATAGATCAGTAAATCTGCCATGGCCGCCAAGAAGGAGTGAGGTCATACAGCCTATATGTATAGACTGTGGTCATACATACAATCATATAGTCAACATTCCAACAGTCTAATAAAAATAAGACTGAAATTTTGTGTATAACAATTAAAGAAGTCAAGTGAGGACAGCTGTCTACATCATTCACTCAATAAAAGTTGACTAATCCAAGACTTACATAGGCTAGATAGTTTACATACATCTAGACAGTACAATTTATAGGCAACCATAAAAAGAGGAAAAATGATGATTGTATTATACTAATCTCTCTATTAGCAAATATATAAAATTGCTATAATATAAAATAGTTAAAAAACAGAAAGTTAGGACCGAATTAATGTAGAACCCTCTGTCATTCTAAGAATAAGTAGTTTTCATTCATAGATACATAAACTATGTGGAAAAAAAGGTCCATACATATCCTTGAGAGAGGCCTTTTCAATAAAATTCTAATTTTATGTTTAATAATTATTTGTCAACATTTATAATGTATATGGTATTTTTATCAAATGGGAACTATGAATAATTAGAGTGATAACACAATCCAGAAGAGAGAATATTAAACTTAATTCTGGATGGTACCAAGATTTTTTTAAAATTATGTTTCAAAGAGGGAAAAAAAACACACAAGTAAAGAATGAGTACATTTAAATGATTTCATCATCTTGTCACCCTACAAATGCTTACTGAAGCAAATGCAGACCAGGTTCTGTGCTGGTTGCTGGAAGCATAGAGATAAATGCAACACGGCTCTGGCTAGGAAGGGAAACAGGGCCTGAGAAAACTGTCACTGTCACGTAGTTGAAAGGAAAACCAGGAGAGAACTGTGGCAGGAAGAAGTTTTAAAAAGTGGCCACCAAAAAGTGATAAGTTGGTGAGGTGACAAATGTGTTCATTAGCTTGACTGGATCTTTACACCATGCATACTTAGATCAAAACATCACACTGTGCCTCATACATAAATGTACAAAATTATTATTTGTCTATTAAAGATGCATTTACATTTTTTAAAATAAATAAATTTAGACTACAATTATGGTTCCATAACTGAAAATATACTAAAATTTTGAGATGATTTTAAAAATAATAATCACACATGACTGGTAAGCTCTGCAGCTGAAAGGAAAAAAATGAGGTGAAATTGAGACTGCTATTAGGCGGTCACTGGGTGTTTCAGTGGAGCGGTAAGCAAAATTATTTGTTCTTCAGTAATCTAGGACTGACTTGCAAAAGGCTATGATTAAGTTAAACATTTTGTATTCACAGGTCACAGAGTAAGGGACATTTAATGGAGGGTAGGGGGATCTCTAAACCCACCTCAGTGTTATCCACATCTAGAAAATCAAATGTACAACACAGATGCTGGGAATTTCTGGCAGGGAAACCTGGGGCCAGAGAGGAGAGCTGGCTCGGTGGACAACACCAGCTGTAAGCACACTCCGGTGAATTTTCCTGGACCAAATTTCCTGGGATCCAGGATGAAAGGAGGTTTTAGGGCTGCCTAGCAACACTATGTTTATACAATGGTCCAAGAACATGGAGAGAAGAAGAGCAAAAATACAAAAATCTGTTTCTGGAGAGGGGCTGCCAGGGTGACTATCAGGCGGCCCCAGCCTGGAGCAGGCCTCCCCAGGCCGAGCCCGGGCATGTGACACCCAGACTCCGCAGGCTGTGTGACATGGGAAACAGGCCTGGTGGGTCCCAGATTGCCCCAGCGCCCGCCACTAATCACAGCCATCCTCGGCTTCTCCATTGTTTTCACAGCTGTTCAACCGCTCCTGCTCAGTAAGGGGACAGACAGGCCGACTCCAAATCATGGAGTAGAAAATAACACTCTGTCGCCGTCTCAAAAAAAAAAAGAAAAGAAAAGAAAAGAACACTCTGGCCAAAGAAAGGGTGCACAAAAAAGGATTTTATTGGTGGGGGCGGGGCAGGGGGATGGTGTCAGGGAGATGGGAAACGTACAAAACTCTTAACCCTTTTATTGGCTTGATCAAATGTGACTGTTTTCAAAAGAGAAGAGACAGAATTCAAATTGTTTTGTAGTTCAACATTTTAAGGATTAGATTTTTCCAACTGAGATCATATTTGCCCATAAAATTACCAATGGAAATGGTACCCATTTCTCCAGGCAAGACCACAAAAGCCTACTTAATTATCCATGTATTTAGTTATACTCACCAACCTGAGAGATGAGAACCTAGATCAGAGAACAGAGAGGAGGAAACAATATTTTTTAATATGAAAATGTATAGATTGCTTGCTGTGTACTCAGTACATTATGTATACAACATCACAATCCACACCCTCAAGCTATGAAGTAGGTAATTACCTCATTTTACATATGAGGAAACTGAGGCAGTAACTTGCCCAAAGTTACAGAGCTACAAAGAGGCAGGGACATTATTGTAAGAGAGGCAATCTAATTCACAAATCAAGAGCCTTAATCACTACGTTACACTGCTTCCTTTAATACCTCGATATTGGTTTCCTAAGGCTGCTGTAATGGATTACCACAAATGTGATGCCTTAAAATAACGCAACTATGTTATCTTACAGTATGGAGGTCAGAAGTCCAAAATTAGTTTCACTGAGCTAAAATCAAGATGTTCCTTCTGGAGACTCTAGGGGAGAATCTGTTTTCTTGTGTTTTCCAAATTCTAACAGCTGCCAACATTCTTTGGCTCGTGACCTCCTTCCTCCATCTTCAAAGCCAGCAGTGTAGCACCTTCTCCCTCTCTAGTTCCAAACTTCCATCTTCACTGTCTCTTATAAGGACCCGTGACTACATTTAAGGCCCACCTGGATCATTAAGGATAACCTAGCCATTTCAAGGTCTTAATCATCTTTGTGAAGACCCTTTTGCCATGTAAGGTAACATATTCACATGTTCCAAAGACATGAGGGGTCCCTTACTCCACCTACCACAACCCCTAATAATGTATGTGTATTTTAACTAGTACAGTCACCATGCCATGTTATGTATGTGTATACATACATGTCTATGTTCTCCTCACAATCATACTGCAATTGTTTTCAGGACAGGGACCATGTTCCACTCATCTTTAAATCTTTAGTTCCTGATAAACACAAAGTAGGCACCCATAAATTGTTGTATTTGACCAATGAATGATGAATAAATTTCAGTATGACAATTTTGAGTTAACATACATGTCATTTATAACAAAAAAATGAACATATGTTGACGGTCAGTAACCAACATCAAGTGTACTGAATGGTTCTCTCCTCCTGCCCTTACCAAATCCTGCTGTGATAGGCCTCTTTCCTTTGCTCAGACTGTCCTCCTGCCTTGGATGTCCTTCCTGCCTTTCTTGTCTTGATTAATTCCTGCTTGTCCTTTCAGACTCAGGTCAGGGGTTTCTTCTCTTAGAAAGCCTTCTCTGACACACACACATACACACACACACACACACACACACACACACACACACACACCTGGCTGGAAGTAGCTCGCTAGAGCTGCTTGTGCATATTTTGTCTCCTTATTTGAAACATCCCGTTGATAACTATGGTAGGAGTATTTACACCACAGAAATTGGCAAATACTACAACTCAGGGTTTTTCCTTCCAGAAAGCCATTATTAAATATTTATACCACACACCCCATGGCTTAGTTCCTCACTCTTGACTTGTATACCAATAGTGTCCCCCCTACTTACCTCTACCACACTATTGTCTCATTGTCTTTGAACCTTTTATTTATATGCTGGTTATCCACACTTGCTAGGTGCCCACTAAAGGCGGAAACTCTTTCTCTCTTTCTCTATGCCTAGCATACAACAAAGTTCCTAACAGGCACTAGATTTTCAGTAAATATGGAAAGGACAAATAATAATAGCCATAACACTAATCATAAAAATACAGCTAAAATTTAATTCACTCTTACTTACCAAATACTCATAACTAAGAAGTATAGTATGACTCAAGGATATACAGAGCAAGGTTGTTTTATTTTTTTCTAGTAACTGCAATTGCTTTTTCAACAACCCCCACCATCATATACTAGTGGAAGGGTGGAGTTGTGGGAATGGTTTGGTGGTACCTTTAAGTTGCCAAATAACCATTTGACAATATCTTAGTCCTTCCAATAATTCAACCTGGTCCAGCAGTCTGTGGACTGATCCAGTTATAGCCTCAAATTCATTTCAGATAAGCATTCAATCCCATGTAGAGATTAGCATCCTCCTTCCCTGCCTCCTGCATTAAGCTGCTGCAAGGGCCATTGAGACAGAAGAGAAGGGTGACTTGTTCACCCCAGACCATTCATTTTGATCATCTTGTACTTTTTCTTTCTCCTCCCTGTTGTGTGCTAACATGGGGGCTGAGGTGGTAAGGGGGCAGTCTGTTTCCCAGGAGAACGTGCGGGGCATATTTATGAGTTCTGGTGACCTTTATCATTTTTTTCTCACTGCTCATCTACTCATGGTCTCTATATTCACCTGTGACAGGTAGGCACTAATTGTTTTAGCCAGCATGGACATGGCCTTATGCAGTGACGCCCAAGACACTGTGAAACATCTTCAGTCTGACTCCAGCCCATAATCTTCAATATCTGCAGTAGTCTCTAGCAAATGTGTAGACCTCCAATCTCCTCGCCTTCATCATCCTGTACACAAGGCCGATGGAAGCAGATGGGATTTTCCACTGTTCCTTGAGTGGGATGGTCTTTGCCCCTTCTTCTGTCTCCAAACTCCAGGATCCTAGGGGTATGTCTGAAACCTAGCAAACATCCATCTGGAGAATGAGCCACAAGATTTTTTTTCCCCTTCTTGCAGAAACTCCAACAATTTAATTAGCAAGGGGAAAGGAGGCTAACTTTAACATCTTCCATTGAAGTTCTTCACCAAAGTAACTTCCCCACCCAGCCACCCCCAGATTCATTTGTTTAGAAATGGGGATGGGAGGTTGTCATATAGTTTCTTTTAGCATATCATGCTCTGCAAAACCTATGTGTGGCCAGGCTGTTTCTTTGACTTTAGAAGGTGAAGCAATAGCATCTTTATTCCCAGCTGTGAGCCATCTCTTCACTAGTTTACTTCTTATATTTCTGTGTGTACCAAGTACTATGATAAGTATTTTATAGGAATTATGTCACAACAAAGTAATTAGACTCTTTATTACAGATAGGGACATTGAATTTCACAAAGGTTACATCATTTGCTCAGCATCCCACCAATAATAAGTTCCAAAGTAAAATTCAAACACAAGTTTGTTTAAATAAAAAACCTAGGTTCTTTACCACTGCTCTCTTCCACCATCTCAAATCTGCACTCCCAAATCTGTCCTGATTTGTGGAACCACCTCTGCCTCTCCAAAAGTACCTCTCACTTAGCTTACATTGTTAAGTATCCTTTTAAATATATGTTGCTGCCTGGAAGACAAGCTCATTAGCTCTTTTTATTATAAGGTGTTTTTTTTGCTCATCACTACCAAGAACCAGACAAGGGGGTCATCAAAATAGCAAACAGGAGAAAATTTAAAATTTTAAGTAATTCGGCTGGGCACAGTGGCTCACACCTGTAAAGCCAGCACTTTGGGAGGCCAAGGCGGGCAGATCATGAGGCCAAGAGATCAAGACCATCCGGGCCAACATGGTGAAACCCTGCCTCCACTAAAAATACAAAAAAAAAAAAAATTAGCTGGGTATGGTGGTGCATGCCTGTAGTCCCAGCTACTCGGGAGGCTGAGGCAGGATAATCACTTGAACCCGGGAGGCGGAGGTTGCAGTGAGCTGAGATTGTGCCACTGCACTCCAGCCTGGTGATAGAGCAAGACTCCATCTCAAAAAAACAAATTAATTAAAATTAAAATTAAGTAATTCACCAATCTCCTGCAGGGCTTGCCACAGTCTAGTTAAGAAAAGTGACCAGCTCATGAAGATCCTGCCAACCCTGACCCCAAGAAAGGCCTTGGCTTCCACAATACATTTAAGTGCCTCACACTGACCTCCCAGAAGGTTCTGGGCCCCCACTGAACAAAGAGAAATATCTTTGCAAAACCTTCTACTGGTCATATCATTGAGAGGGACTGGCGTTTGTTGCACTTCCAGCTGGGATTCCTGGTCTCACAGCTTCCAACGCTGCACCCATCCATGACCCTCACTAACCCCTACTAAAGGTCACATTATTAGAGCAGCTCCCTCTCTTCCAACTATCCAGAATAAGCCACATGAGTTATATCCAGAATCTTTCTTGCCTCACTCAATCCAGACCTAATCATCTATTTCCAGATTTATTTGACTGAGTCCTATCCAGACTCTACAATGACTTTGAAGGTCAGATTCCACCTCTTCAGTAAGAGAAAGCCTGAGACTATCTTATCTCATCATCAAAGAGTGAAGAACAATCCCAAAATAAGTAGAAACGCAAAAGCTTATAACCTCTTTTTCTCCTCCCATTCATAAGACATTCCAACCACAAAGGTTCTGGGTAAAATCTCAAAAAAAAAAAAAAAATTCAGTCAAAAGTAAAATCATCATTTCAACAAATTTTTTTTGTTTTGACCAAATCATCTGCTCCAAACCACCATTGCCAAGGCCACTTAATGCATTTGGCACTATGAGCTCAGGGCCTAAGACTTGCATGCATAAAGATATATTTATAGGCTCCAAAATAAGAAACAAAAACTGCAGATCAAAATGAATGAATGTTGAATTAAATATCTACACAAATTTAACATTTTGTCAGCTATTAGACTACAACTCAACTTATATGGTTATTCATAATTTCATGAAATAGGACATGTGGTTGCATTTTAATACATTTGAAATGATCTTGGGTAGATCCTCCAAAACAAAGGCTGCCTAGGATGCTAAAGCGTCTCTGCTTAGCTCCGTGGACCATGGTGTGTCCTTGAACAAATTTTGAGTTCATCTCCTCTTCAGGAGCGAAGAAAGGAAGCGGAAAATGCAATAGGCCTTCACCTTTACCAAAGGTTGCAGGGTGTCCCATCATGTATTCCATACTGCGTCCCATCCCCTCCCCCTGCAGACACTCAGGCCTGCCCTAAGCTCTTCACATTGTGGGCTAATCTCTTGTCTCTATCTTCTCTAGTCTTCATCTGGGTACCTCTATTCATTGTAGTAATTCCAGGTAGAGGAAATTACAAGCTTTATTTATTTCTGGTAAGTAACTTCACCTTAGACATCTCCCAAAAGGGGAACACCCATCTCAAGGAGCCAACTGATGGGCAAAAACTGAGAGCCACCTATATGCATATAATAATGACACACATAATATCAATCACTTTGTGCCAAGCACCATTCTCAACATTTTTCAATTATACCACTGATCCCCTAATTATACTTATTTTTCAGATGAGAAAACTTTAGCAGTGAGAGTAGCTATCATGCCCAAGGTCACATAGGCAGAAAGTGTCAGAGGCTTGACCGCTACATTGGCCCATTATGTTATGCAGGTGGGAAGAACTTAAGCCTGGAACCCAACCCTCATCTGAGGATGGCAGATGAAACCAGGGAGCCTAGGACCAGGTATCGCTGAACAACTTCTTGAGAAACACATTTATATCTGACTTACATCATAGGATTTAAGGGCTCTTCATCAGAGCAGCTCAGCCTGTTCTCTAACACACCTTGTCTCACAGCCTTCCAAGAAAGCACGCCCAGCCTATTTATTTATAAAATGCCCTCCCCATGACTTGCCCCTTCTCTCTGTGTGTGTTTTACTCATCTAAATTCTACCTGTCCCTCCATCCTTGGTTTATATCCCATCTCATCTTTCCAATTCCAGCACCTGGTAAACCTTGATTTTTCTGGGCTTCTCTAACTAACACTGTGTATTGTTACCAATCTCTTGGGAATTTAATCACACATGGCTGGATCTGGCTAACCAATTTCTCCATTTGGTAAGTCTCATGGTCCCAGCAAGATTTGAGAAAAAGTCCTTGAGGGCATGGAGTTGGTCTTAGAGAACACACCTCTGGATTCCTTTCGCCTGGGTTTACATTTCTGCTCTGTATTTATCAGTTGTAAGACCATGGATAAAACACTTGATTTTTGTGTGCTTCAATCTCCTCAACTATAAAATCAGGGTAATAATGGTATCTAACTATAGGGCTGCCAGGAACAGCAAAGGAGCCAGTAATTCATGGAATCCTATATAGGATTTAAATAGAGTTGATGATGTCCCTAAATTTGTTTTTAATGATTTAATAATTACATTTTAAAATCTAAGTATTTGACTGTATCTTTCATGCTTATCAACTGTCATTTATAATAAGAGTAAACAAAAACAAAAAGCTTACTTTTTGCAAAGAACTGGGCTAAGTATGTGTCTGGTTTTTTCCCCACCAACCTTATTTGAGCCAAGGGGATTGCAGAGGGAGAAAAATACATGTGCAAGTATCACATCACTTTATTTCCAGAACTATAAACTATGGAACAGATTGCATTTGCAATATTTGTTTAAAATAAGCCTTTAGTAAGTTATATCCCCAGAGACTAGTCACTGCAACTAACCCGTCAAAAATAACCACAGCAAGGAATTGGAGGCTCCTGATATAATCTGTATATTTATAGGAGGCTTCGCTTCAAAAAGGTAGCTCCAACCCCGGATCTCAAGACCTTTATTTGAACTCTTGGCTGCAGCATAATTGACAGAGAGAATTAAAGGGGATATGAAGACCTGGGACTGAACTTTTTCAATAGTCTCAGCTCGGCTCACGTTGCTCACGATATTAGAGGCTGCCGTGATGATATTAAATGATGCCGCACTGACAGAGATTAACAGAGTAGGCAATTAGATTTAAATGCTGTAATTGGAACATGCTGTTAAGTGCCTACCATCAGTCCTGGGTCTCCCCTTATGGCAAGCGAGTCTCTCCTTGGGTTGCTCTGTAAATTTAACACTGTCCTCACCAGCAACAAATCCTCCATCACTGATGTACAGAGTGTGAACAGGCCTGACATTATTATGAAATTGTCATGTATCTTCTACACGTGTCCATAATACTTGAAAATTTCAAAATGCTTTCAAATCCGGTTAGGTCTTTTGGGCTTTATATACATTTGTGAGGAGAAAAGAATCATATTGCAAAGGATGTAATTGAGGATTGATACAGTAAAAAGACCTGCCCAGGGCCTGCTAAGCTACTCTGTTAATGCATCAAGAATCTAAATTATGTCCTTTGACTTCCATGTGCTTTTCATCATGCCATGGTGCCTCCATAGGTTGTAATTTGAAATTAAATTCTGCCTGCTGAACACTATTCTCTCAGAAGATGAAGACTCTCAGCCCCACAACAGGACAAGCTACCATATTTTGACATTACCTTCATGCCTGTAGGTCTTCACCAACAATATTACCTTCACTAACCACAGACAATACCATAGAATGAGGTAATCAATCACCATGTGCTTGCTGGGTATCTGATATGTGTCAAGACATCGATACACACCATATGATGATTATAAAAGGGGATCTTAAAATTTCACTATTTCTATCCATGTGACTCAATTTGCCCACTTACGAAGTATAACAACTTTAAAAAAATAGCTAACATTTGCCAAGATAATTACAACATGCCAGGCCTTTTATAGATGCTCTCTATGTACTAACTTTTGAATTTTTAAAGTTGGCTTTCAAACTGTCATTGCAGTAACAGGATTCCACAGTGTTGCTATAGAGGTTGTTGCAAAGTGGAAAGGGTTAACTGGATGAGCCTCTCGGTCCACACCCCAAACTTCACTCAGAAAGAGAAACGGGAATTGTGGTGTTTTCTCATTCACATATTTCAGATATAGGGTTTTTAGAAATAATTTATATATTGGTTCAAAATTCAAAAAGTAGAAAAAAAATGCATCAAATGAAAAATATTTCTCCCATTTAAGTCCCCCAGCCACCCAGTATAGCTCCCCCGAAAGGAAAAAGCAAAAAAAAAAAAAAAAAAAAAAAAAAAAGTCACTGCTCTTATTAATTCTTCAGATGCCCTTTCAAAGATGTTTTTAATAAATATAAGTATTTTTTTCCATTTTCCTTCCATACCATATACACTGTTTTACATCTTGATTTTTCACTTAAAAATGCAACTTGGAGATCTTCCTATAACAGTTCCTAAAAACTTCAGCTGCATAATTCCATTTAACCAGTCCTCTGTTGATGAATATTTAGGTAATCTTTTGCTGTGAAGAATAATGTTACATGTGTCATTTTTCACACAGGAAAATGTACTGATAGTGTAATTTCCTAGAATTGGAATTGTAGGATCAAAGAATAGATGCATTTGTAATTTTGTTTGATACTGTTTAAATTGTACTAATTTACCTCCCACCAGCAGCATATGAGTGTTACCACACAGTCTTGGCAACATCAAGCATCAAATGTTTGAATCTTTTGCTTTCACTTTTATAAGAATCTCTAGTTTTGAATTTTCCTTTTATCTGGCCTATCTATGCATATCCTTTGCCCATTTTTTCCAGTGGGTTGATTATCTTTTCCATATTGACTTATAGAAGCTATTTATATATTAAAGATATTGTCTGTGACAAGTTGCACATATTTTGCCTCGGATCATTTGTCTTTTGACTCTGTTTCTAGTACTTTTGCATGCAAATACTTTAAATATATAAAGTTGGATTTATCAGATTTTTCTTGTCCAGTTATTGCATTTTGTATAATATCGAAAAGATGTTTCTCATTCCTGGACAATAAAATAATCCTCACATATTTTCTTCTACTACCTTTATGATTTAATTTTTTACTTTTAAATAGTTGATTCATTTGGAACTCATCTTGGTGCACAGTGTGACTGTGAATCCAATTTTTTTTCCAAATAGTTACCCATCTATTACTATTACAGACTAGTCTGCCCCCCAATTTCAACACACCACTGATTTGAGCTGCCAATTTTATTATATACCCATTCCCCTATATATTTGAATTCCATATATATTTAGATTTTTTTTCTGTTCCACTAGTTTTACTTATCAGCCAATATCTCATCGTTTTAGTAAAGGTTTATTATATGTTTTAATATTCCCTAAAATAAGTGCTACCTTATTGCTCTTCTATTTTTGTGTTTTCTGGCTATTCTTATCTATTTCTTTTACCATAAGAAAAAATTTATAAAGATTTTATGTATTTTTATTAAAATTATATTCAATTTATAAATTAATGCAAGGGAAAATTATATCTTTATTTGGTTGAGTCTTCCTATCCAACAACGCTGTATATGCTTTCTATTTGTTCAGCTCTTCTTTTGTGCAATTTCACAAATATGCTGTGTATGTGTTAAACACGTATAGATATGCACACATACATTCATGTAGGTGTCAATGACAAAGATGTGTTCTGAGATGCATCCTTAGGCAATTTCATCATTGTGAGAACATCATAGAGTGTACTTACACAAACTTAGTGTAGCCTACTACACACCTATAGCTATTGTTCATAAGCTACATCCTGGTGTGGCATATTACTGTGTGAAATACTATAGGCAATTGTGGCACAATGGTGAGTATTTGTATATCTAAACATATCTAGGCTGGACATGGTGGCACACAGCTATAATCCCAGCACTTTTGGAGGCTGAAGCAGGTGGATTACTTTAGTCTAGGAGTTCAAGACCAGCATGGGCAACATGGCAAGACACTATCTCTACAAAAATAAAAATTAAAAAATTAAAAATTTTTAAAATCCCATATCTAAGCATAGAAAGGGTACAGCTAAAATATCATATTATATTCTTATGTGACCACTATCTTATATGTGGACTGTCATATATGCTGTCCATTGTTGACCAAAAACAGTTATGCAGTGCATGACTATGTGTATATGATTGCACCTATATGTACATGTAATATATATAGTTTGTATGTACATGAGACATTTGTGATGTTGCATTAGTTACCTTTCATTATCTCTGGAGAATGATTATAGAGATTTTGTCATTAGGTCTATTAATATGCAGATTTTTATTAATATATGTCCCTATATTGATTCATCCTTATATTCCTGAAATAACTCATCTTCCTCATGGTACAGTATTCTCTAATATGCTGCCAGATTCTGTAAGGTAGTATTTTATTGGGAAATTTCACATCTTGATTACGAGAACTTTTTTTTTAGTGTGGAAACATTGACTACATGGTCTTTAAGGTCTCTTTAAGTTCTAATATTCATTGAGTAAACTCCAAGACAGTATGAGAACAATTAAATGCCACATTGTTTTCATAAGTTAAAAAAGTAATTAAAAGAATTCCTTTCCATTCTCTGTGCTTTCTACAGTGTCCAGCATAAAATGAGTGCACAAACAATATTTATTAAATAAGTAATAAATGAATAAATATTAATTAGACACTGGAAGGCCCACAACACTGTGCAGGATACAAACAATGACTTAAAGGGTTCCAGAGACTAATGTGATGAACTAGGAAAGAACATGGAATTTGGACTCAATTATACCTAGAATCTAACCTCAGCTCTGTTCCCCTGATTGATGAAAGATCTCACACTTGATACTTAACTCATTGTCCTTACCTGTAAAATGGAGAGAATAATATATAGCATGAAGTTGGCGGTGAACATAAAGTGAAATAGTCTATGTAATTGGCAGGCATATTGCTTGATGTATAACAGATTTTTTAAAAACTTTACTTTCCTGTCTCATTTATACTCTCCCTCCATCCTTAAGAACACATGCTCTAGTACATGCATATGTTTTTAATAATGATAATGATAATGAAATAAAGCAAGAATGCACACAAACACAAAGTCACACAAACTACAGTTTAATACGGCCTAGGGCTGTGGTGAAGCATGGAGTCCAGAGCCAGACAGAACCGGGTTCTGACCCCAGGTCAGCCAGCATCTTACTGTATGACTGTGGGCATGTCATCTAAATCACATGTCATCTAAATCTTGGTTTCCTTGTCTGTAAAATGGGAATATTACTTACTATTTCATACACTTGGTTCGAAAACTGAGACAATACATATAAAGCACCTAGCCCAAAGCAGCCATGGTACCCCAGTGTCACTGCTCTTTCCTGATAGTTGCGCAGCTGACAGCTGATATACAGATTGCCACTGGCTGCCTGAGAATTCTCTTCGGTCAGATCTCCTCCCACAGAGTGGAGAATTCCAACTGTCTAGTCAGGAGACATGACAATGGGAAGTCCCATCCTACTCCACTTTCTTCCCTGACCTCCAATCTTCCCAGTCATACGGGCCCATCATTGTAGCACTTAATCATATGCTGTCATATGTGGTTACTCGACTTGTTGGCATGTTATGTTCTACTCACCTAAGCACCCTATCTCATGCTGTCCTTTTCTCTCTCAAAGCATCTTTCATTGGCTTGAACTCAGCACCAGCAAGCAATTAAATGCTGTAAATCATATAATTTTAGGGTTGGAAGGTTACTGAAAAGTGTAATATGTGAGTCCCCTCAACTACAGTTACTTAAACTGTTGAAAAAACTCCCCTGAAAGATTCTCCTTCCCACCACAGCCTGTCCCACTGGAATGTTCGCTCCCACCCCAGGGCCTTTGCGTGGCTCTTCTCTATGCCTGAAACACTCTTCCCCACTTCCCTTCTTCCTATTTTTTAGTCCTACTCCTGTGATATTTAAAAATTGCAGGCGATTTGCCTCTTCCTCTGGGAAGCCTTCCCTGAGCCCAGGCTAAACCAGGATCCCCTACAATATACCATTTTAGCTCCCTGCACTCTTTCTTTATTGTAGTTATCACAGTTAGTACTTATTCACATTGGTGATTATTTACAAATAAATATTTTTTTCACCCACTAGGCTGTAAAATGTATAAGGCCAGATGCAAGTCTGTTTTTGCTCATCATGTTTTCACTAGCACCTAATTCTGCACCTAGTCTGCAGTTCATAGTTTTTAATAGATGTTTGTTGAATTAATTGGTTAATGAATTAAACAGCTCCTAAATACTTCCCAGTAAGGATATATTTTTACACTCTCTAAATCACTGGATCCTCACCTCAGCTCAGTCACAAAGTGAGATTTAATCCTTTTTCTCTCTCTCCAAATATCTTACCTTGATGTCCAACAGCTTACTACTGAGCATCTCCATTTGATCCATTGCTTGGGAGGAATCTCCCTTTTCTTCCAATCGTGCGGTCTACCCCATCTTGTTTCCACCCCAGCCCCCAGTGTGCACACCAGACACACACACACAGGTACACACAGACTGAGGGTTCCATTAGGCAACAGCAGGTTTTGTGTGTGGCTTCTGTATGATATAAATACTTTCTCTACATTCAAGTGTAATGTGTATGAGGCCATGATCAGTCTTAGAGTTCTCTGCAAGTCTCAGGCCAGTTTGCCTTCACACCCATTCATTGCCTTTCTCCTCTCTCTACCACAGTGGCTAGAGGAGACTAGACGGCAAAAGGAAGGGGGAGGCCAAAGCATCCCTCATCTGGTCTCTATGCTTAAGAGCCGCATCACTGCATTACTGCCATGGCTCCAGCTCCCATCTGCCAGGCCTGCCATGGTCCAGCCTTCTCTGGTGACCTCTGCCCCAGGGCTTCAGAAACACTCTCTCCTTTTAGTCTGGACTACAGGAAGCAGGGACTTCCTGCTGTGGCCTTACCAGCTGTCACTGACTTCTCCTCTTTTCCATCATCCACGTAACCAATTCCCTACATGAAACTTCCTCAAAGTGGTTTTTTGTTTTCTTAAAAAAAAAATCACATGGACTGATACATGTGAAGATGACAATAGAAAGCCAGAGCAGATTTATCACCATTTCACCTTGTGGTTATTTGTATGCCTTTCATTGCCACCTTAGGAAGGAGGCACCAAGTGTTATGCATTTACTACATTACCACACCAACTCCCAAAGCACCTTCTACATATTAAAACATCCATGAATATTTGTTGAATGAATGAATGAATGAATGAATGAATGAATTGAACCTGGGGAGCTGTAATATCTTAAGTGTTTAAAGCTTCTATGAATATCATAAAGTTATACATTAATTAGAATCAGTCTATGAGCACCTTTCTCAATAACACACAAATCTGGAAGTAATGTAATTAATTCAAAATTACATAAGTAATCAAGGTGTGCTTACTTTTCCATCAATCAAGGCATAATTACTTAGCTGTGAGAAAGCTCAAAAGGGGTTTATATAGCCTTTAATGAGGCTTACACAGCATATGACAACTCAGGAATGAGCAGAGCATTGTAAAAGCTACTAGACAATTAAAGCTGCTTAAATATCATGCGTGAAAAAAATGTCTACTCCTTCTCAGACACTATTATAATTTTTCTAACGGAATGTCTTGAGAAGATGACCAGATCTACTATTTGAATGCAATTTCTATGTCACACGCACACAAACTAGATAGATACATAGATGATAGATAGATGCATAGATAAATACATAGATGATAGATACATAGATACATATACAGATGATAGATAGATACATAGATGATAGATAGATACGTAGATAAATAGATAAGTAGCTAGGAGAGAGATCGTGGCTTAGCTTAGCTGCATTCCCTTGAAAAGCAGAACTGAGAAAAGGACTTGTAATAATTTGTTTAGGAGGTAATACAGGGAGCAAGAGTGAGGTTTGGGAGTAGATGGAGGAATGTGGAAAAAGGAATGTATATTCCCAGTTCTATCTTCTATCTCTTGTATTATGTGGTTTCAGGTCTCCCTGTCATCATGCATTCATTCATTCATCTAACATTTATCAGAATGCTAAGTGCCAGGCATAGCACCTGGTCTTACAGATGCAGGGGAATGGAAGGGCAATCCCTGCCCTCATGGTTAAAATTTAGCTACAAGATCCAGCTTTTGCTTCTGGAGGCTCTACCTTCAAGGCACTTCAAGCCAGCAGCATGTCTCCTCCATCAGACCTCACGGGATCCCCTGGCCCCCTGCATTCTCACTCCCCACCTATAGCCTGATTGTATGGGCCCCCCTCCTGGAATTCCTTAGCATCTCATGTATTCAGATTTCTTCAATTTTGTTTTTCTAGAATCCTTATGAAGATTTTTAAATTCTAGATAATTTTTTTTACCATAAATAACAGTGACTCTTCCCTCACTGGCAAAATTTGAACAGCATCCTGCAGCATCAGGGAGTTTCTTCCATTCCACTTTTCAGTATGATGTATGCGTGTTAAGGGCTTAACTTTCAGACCAAATCTCTAGCCAGAAATAATCACTCCAAAGTGAGCAGGAGACAGGGTAATATGTCAGCCATCTCTGATACTGCTGAAAGTAGCTAAGAATGTTCTGTAGCCCTCAGAAAAGACCACTGGTTCAAGGCATGTTAAAGCCAGAAAGGAAAAACTCTGTGTGTCTTGACTTTGCCCCACCTAAAGTTATGCAGATTAAAAAAAAATGTGACCAGGGTAGCACTGTAGAAAGAGCCTGGTTTCAAGATCACACATATCTGGGTCCAAATACCTACTCAGCCACAAACTCTCTGTGTGACCTCGACCAAGTTCCTTGGCCTCTCTGAGTCAAAGTACTTCACCTATCAAATAGAACTAACACTTAGCTCACAGAGTTGCTACCATCTTTGTGGAGTTTTTTTTTTTAACATGACCTTTTAGCTAATAGGCCATATTAGCTAAAATTATAGTCCCACCTTCAAACACTCCCTATCTCTCATCCTTACTTTTACTTTTCTTCTTTGCATTTACCACTGTCTGACACTCCATATATTTCTATATCTGTATCTCTCTTCCCATTTGTGTGTTGCCACCACTATAATGGAAACTCCAAAAGAGCAAGGATTCTTGACTTTTCATGTATTTCTAATCCTTAGCACATATGGGGACTTAGTAAGTATTTGTTGAATGAGTAAGTATTTGTTGAATGAGTAAGTATTTGTTGAATGAGTTAGTGAATGGATGGATAGATGGATGGATGGATGGATGGATGGATGGATGGATGGATGGGCAAGTGAAACATTAAAAGGTACTCATTAAATGTTAGCTGAATGAAGCAAAGGGCCATAGTCTAGCTCCCATAGCTGGCACAATGATAGTAGTACCAAATAAAGTTACTAACAACAAGCTAATGGTTTCCCCATGGGGAAGACTAAGGTTTGACTGAGACTTGAATGCAAAGTGCTTTTTTATTAACAGCATAAATTATTCTGGTGAGTATCTTCTCCTTAGCATCCTAAATTTTTTACAAGTATCCAGCTCTCTGCCAGGCAGCCCTACTTAATAACAACTTCTGACCCTTGAAGAGCAGTTTCCTTTGCTCAAAGCACTTTCAGATATATATTCTATTAAAACTCCATAATCTTTGCAGGAAAAGGCTCTTCCCACCACTTCTATCTTGTGTGTTAGTAAGAGACAAAGTTTACAGTAGAGCATGCCTCAAAGAGAAATGAGGTCACCAAACTAGAGAAACTGTGCAATAGCAGGTTGGGAGTAAAGCCAAGAATAATAATAATGCCTGTTACTATTAATAAGACCTAACTTTTAACCCTCAGGCTGACACAGCCTGAGATTCAGCATGGGTTGCACAGAGACAGTGCAGTGGGAGAGGAATGGGACATTTCTAGTCATATACACTGACTAACCCAAGACTGGCAGTCAGTGAAAGTGATGGGTAAATGGTCCTTGCGACCTAATAGGAGTTGAACAAGTGATTCTCTAGTGAGTAGATGAATGGATGAACGAATAAAATATTTATTTGTTTCCATTCATAAATACTTTTGAAGCACCTCTGTTGCATCAGGTCCTGTGGTAGATGCGGGGTTACAAAGATGATCAAGACATGACAGAGGGGCTTGGGCTACACCTATAAGACTTTTTTAGACTTTGAATCTGTCTTCAAAAAAACTAAAGCCCAATATGCAAAACAGTTCAAAACTTACCTGCTCCAAATCACAGCAGGCTGTGTGTGGTGGGAAGAGGGAGGAAAGGGCCTTCACTCTGGTGGGGTGTCTGAGGAAGCCCTGTGGCTCCCCGGAGCATTACTCAAAACATTGCCTTAGATGAACATTCAGGTGCTTCTGCAACAGAGATGCCAGGATTCTGTGGATGATGCATTAAGCCCTTGTAAGAGAGAAGGTTCTGAGGTTTAGAAGACAAGAAGGAAGGGTTCAGCACTCAGTATCTACAGAGGATGTTGCTAGAGGGTTCCTTGGAGACCAAGGGTTGGTGAAGGCTGAGGCTTTGAGGCAGAAAACTGTCATGGACATTAGTCATTTTTGTTGCTGCCCAGTATGAGTCTTGTTGTAGGATAAAATTGCTTCTCCTTAAAGAGGCAGCAATGCTAGATACTTGCTTTCCTGGTTTCATTTGCATCTAAGGCACAGGACTGAATCAAGATCTTAGGGACACAAGGAAACATGTCTCTCCTTGCGTTGCCTCTCTGCTCTCTTCTCCCTTCCCCTCTCTTACCCTCCCCTTCCGTCTCCTCCCTTCTCCTCTCCTATCCTCCCTTTCTCCCCACCTCAATGTCTGAGGTTGCAATGTCAGACCCTGACACAGTCAAGCAATGCTGGGGGATCAGGGAGCACTTTGCTCATCAGATCATTCCTCTCCAGCCCTCACCTCACACCTGCTCTGCAGCTTTCCAACCGTTCTGTGAGCTGCCCGATACCATCTAATAAATTTCTTCTCTCCTTTATCAGCCTGAGCCAGTCTCTGCTGCTTACAGACCAAAGCCATAAGAGGCCCAGGACACAAATGGGAAGACTGGGAGATAGGCATGCTTATTCTTCCTTAGAAGCTCTCCTGAAATCCAAGCTGAAAACTGGCTCCAACGGGGCTGCAAAAAAAAAAAAAAAAAAAAGCACTGAAAAGTTTCCAGTAGCGTCACCAGGGAAGAGTCCCAGGTTTTCTCTTTCAATACACAGCTTTAAAAAATGAAAAGATTTCCTATCCTCAAGCCTCTGTATTTATATTTTGGAAACTGTCAGCAAAGACAGAGGTTTCTTCCTGACCAGAACTTTGGTCAATCTAAGAGTCAGATGTTCTGAGGAGCCATTTTTCATGTGGGGAACTCCTTAAAGAGAAATCCAGGTGGCTGTCAGCCTAATAGCCAAGTTGTTGACAAAGCACAAGAGTTTCTGATATTTCCTGGACACCAATCCATATTGCTTTAACAGAATTTTGTTGCATTGAAGCTGATATTCCCCCCAAAATCATTAATCCAGTCTCAGCTACTTCTGTTGGTTGGAATTGACTTGGCAGCTGTACTTAGAGAGGTTCAGAGAAAGGAAAATATTCTCCTGTGTTAATTAAACAATGTTGACTAGAAATAAAGACCTAGTTAGGGAATCAGGAGTTAGGAAACGGGAGTTCTTTTCCTAGAGTTGCCAGTTTCCATTTTGTGACTTTGATGTTCCCTCTCTATGAAATGGGGAAAATATGCTTTATGAGATTCTCGTGGAGATATAACCATATATATATATTCTCGTGAGGACTGAATAATATCCACCCATAAAGTTTCACTGCTGTTATTGTTATTTCTTTCTCAACATTCTTAATATAAAGTCAGAAGCAAGGATGGCCAGAGATGCTGGGAAAGGCATATATACGGACGGCAAAGAAGAGAAGCTGCTATGATGAGAAGAAAGAGACTTGGAGTCAGAAGGTTGTGCTTCCCACCAGCTGTGTGATTGTGGACAATCTATTTCAGCTTCCTGAAACTCCACTTTCTTTGCTATAGCATAGAGATTAAATTGTGAGGATTAAATGCAATAACTATAAAAGTCTTGAGTACAATGCTTAGTTCATAGTACATGCTCAATGTTAATTTCCTTCCATTGTTCCCTGCTTATCAAAGAAGAGAGAGGCTTACGTACAGAGAAGTAAACCAAGAGTTGGCAAATACAGCCAGCAAGCTAAATGCGCCCACCATCTGTTCGTATAAGCAAAGTTTTTTTGTTTTTTGTTTTGTTTTGTTTTGTTTTGTTTTTGAGATGGAGTCTTGCTCTGTCACCCAGGCTGGAGTGCAGTGGCACAATCTCAGCTCACTGCTGCAACCTCCGCCTCCCGGGTTCAAGTGATTCTCCTACCTCAGCCTCCCGAGTAGCTGGGACTACAGGCGCCCACTACCATACCCAGTTAATTTTTGTATTTTAATAGAGACAGGGTTTCACCATATCGGCTAGGCTGGTCTCGAACTCCTGACCCTGTGATCCGCCCGCCTCAGCTTCCTAAAGTGCTGGGATTACAGGTATGAGCCACTGCACCTGGTCAGCAAAGTTTTATTGAACACAGACGTGCTCATTTGTTTACTATTTTCTATGACCACTTTAGTTGTTACAGAGATCACATAGTCTGCAAAGCCTAAAATATTTACTACCGGGTTTTTTATAGAAAAAGTTTTCCGACCCCTGACCTAAGCTACTCAAGTCCAATCTACACACTTAAAGCTTTCAAAACATAAAATTAAGACAATTTAATAATTTGCCTAAGGTCACAAGGGTACTTGGCAAGTGAATGGCAAGCTAATGAATGCCCCCTACTGGGCAGTAGAGGCGATGTTATGCGACATGGTTAACAGCTCAGACTAAACATCGTTCAAATCCAGGCTCTGCCACTTACTAGCTATGCAACCTTAGAGGAGTTGCAAACTTACCTCACACTGTGACTGTAGTGTTAATAATTTGTCATAATGACTCTTGAAAAATGACATCCTTTATTGTACAATGTCTTCTTTTTATCACTATAATAAATTTTTTTTTACCTAAAAACGTATAAATAAACAAGATATAAGAAGTGAAATTTTGACATTGGTGTCACAGGCAAAGACATAACCCTTATTTACTCAACACAACAGTTTATCTCGGAGATTACCAGATGAAACAAATCTGAATTGCACACCACTTGTGGATGAGCTCAGTACAGCTTGCTTTTTGTACAAATGTCAAGAAATTATTCAGTCTGTAGCTAGAGCTGTGGGGTTCAGAGCAGTGTATATCATATATATACCCCTCTCTTTCCAGATTTTCTTTTATTAGTTTTGATACATTTCAGAGAGAAACATCTCTGCCTTCAGATCCCCAGGGCCCTTCTTTCACAA